>NT_187524.1:0-133041 GCF_000001405.40 Homo sapiens
GAATTCGATGTTTCCAATCAATTCCATTCAATGATGCTTCCATTCGAGGCTGTCTGATGACTCTATTCATTTCCATTCTACAATGATTCCCTTTGAGTCCTTTTGAAGATTTGATTCGAGTCCTTTCGATAATCCCATTCGATTCCGTTCGATGATGATTTCGTTCGAGTCCATTTGACGCGTCCCTTCGAGTACATTTGATGATTCCATTCGAGTCCAACTGATGATTCCATTCAATTCCATTCTGTGATGTTTCCGTATGATTCCATTCGATGATGATTCCATGTGATTCCTTTCGATGATGATTCATTTTAATTGCATTTGATTATGATTCATTTCCAGTTCATTCGACGATTCCACACGATTCCATTCGAGGATGATTCCATTCGAGTGTATTTGATGATTCCTTTCGATTCCATTAGAAGATGATTCCATTTGATTCCGTTCATTGGTGATCCCATTCAATTCCATTCAATGATTCCATTCCATCCCATTCAACAATGATTCCATTTGATTCCATTTGATGATTCCTTCCGCTTGATTCCATTTGATGATGATTCCATTCGATTCCATTCGATGATGATTGCCTTCAATTCCATTCGATGATTCCATTCGATTCCATTCGATGACGATTCGGTTTGATTCCATTTGATGATTCCATTCGAGTCCATTCGATGATTCCATTCGATTCCATTTGATGATGATTCCATTTGAGTCCATTCGATGATTCCATTCGAGTCCATTTAATGATTCCATTCATTCGAGTCCATTTGATGATTCCATTCGATTGCATTTTATGATTATTCCATTCGTGTCCATTAGATGATTCCATTCGTGTCCATTCAATAATTCCATTCAATTCCTTTCGATCATTCCATTCGATTCTATTTGACATTTCCATTCGAGTCCGTTTGTTCATTCATTCGTGTCCATTCGATGACTCCATTCGATTCCATTTGATGATGATCCCATTTGATGATGATTCCATTCGAGTCCATTTGATGACTCCATTTGATTCCATTTGATGATGATTCCATTCGTGTCCATTAAATGTTTTTGTTCTATCCCATTCAATGAGGATTCCCTTCAAATCCATTTGATGATTGTATTCAAGTCCATTCAGTGATTGCTTTCGGTTCCATTTGATATTGATTCCCTTTGATTCCATTCGATGAGTGTTCCATTCGATGTCATTCTATGATTCCATTAGATTCCATTTGATGTTGATTGCATTTGATTCCATTTGATTATTCTATTCGATTTTTTTTGATGACGATTCCATTCGATTCCATTCAGTGATTCCAGTTCATTACAGTTGATGGTGATTCCTTTCGATTCCATTCGATGATTCCATTTGATTCCAATCGATGATGATTCCATTCGAGTCCATTCGATGATTCCATTCGATTCCATTCAATGATGATTCCATTCGAGTCCATTCAATGGTGATTCCATTGGATTCCATTCGGTGATGCCATTCGATTCCGTTCTATGATTGCATTCGATTCCATTTGATGATTCCCTTCGATTCCATTCAAAGTTTATTCCATTCGAGTCAGTTTGATAATTCCATTCGATTCCATTCTCCGATGATTCCACTGGATCCCGTTCGATGATTCCATTCAATTCCAGTTGATGGTGATTCCATTCGAGTCCATTTAATGATTTCCTTGGATTCCATTTGATGATGACTCCTTCCGGTTCCATTCCATGATGATTCCATTGGGTTCCATTAGATAGTGATTCCATTCAAGTCCATTCGATGATTCCATTCGATTCCATTCGATGATGATTCCATTCCGTTCCATTCGATGATTCCTTTCGATTCCATTTGATGTTGATTCCATTTGAGTCCATTTGATTATTCCCTTTGAATGCATTCCATGATTCCTTTCGATTCCATTTGATATTGCTTCCATTCGAGTCCATTCGATGATTCCATTTGATTTCATTCAATGATGATTCGATTCAATTCCGTTCGATGATTCCATTTGACTCCATTCGATGACAACTCCATTCGAGTCCATTCGATGATTCCTTTCGAGTCCATTTCATGATTCTATTTGGTTCCATTCGATGATGATTCCTTTGAATTCCATTCGTTGGTGATTCCATTCGATTCCATTCGATGATGATTCCATTCAATTGCATTCGATGATGATTCCATTCGATTCCATTCGATGATGATTCCATTCGGTTTCATCCGATGATTCTATTCAATTCCTTTCTATGATTATTCAATTCTTTTCCATTTGATGATTCCATGTGATTCCATTTGATGATGATTCCATTCGTTTGCATTCGATGATGATTCCATTCAGGTCCATTCAAAGATTCCATTCGATTCCATTCTATGATGATTGCATTCGAGTTCATTTGATGATTCCATTCGACTCCATTCGATGATGATTCCATTCGTTGCTATTCAATGATTCCATTCGATTCCATTTGCTGATGATTCCATTCGACTCCATTCAATGATTCCATTCGATTCCACTCAATGAGGATTCCTTTCGTGTCCATTTGATGATTCTGTTCAATTCCATTCGATGATGATTCCTATCAAATCAATTTGATGATTCCATTCGAGTACATTCGATTATTCCATTTGATTTTATTCGATGATGATTCCATTCGATGCCATTCGATGATTCCATTCGATTCCATTCAATGGTGATTCCATTCGATGCCATTCGATGATTCCATTCAATCCTATTTGATGATGATTCCATTCGTGTCCATTCGATGATTCCGTTCTTTCCATTCGATGATGATTCCATTTGAATCCATTCGATGATTCCTATCTATTCCATTCGATGACTCCGTTCAATCCCATTCGGTGTTCCCCTTCGATTGTCTTTGATGATCATTCCATTCGATTCAATTTGGTGATTCCATTCCATGATGATTCCTTTCGATTCCATTCGATGAGGATTCCATTCGGTTCCATTTGATGATGATTACATTCGATTCCATTTGACGATGATTCCATTCGAGTCCATTTGATGATTACATTCGATTGCATTTGATGATGATTCCACTCAAGCCCATTCGCTTATTCCATTCGAGTCCATTCAATGATTCCATTAGATTCCATTCGATGATGATTCCATTCGAGTTCACTCGATGATTCCATTGTATTCCATTCAATGATGATTCCTTTCAGGTCCATTAGATGATTCCATTAGATTCTATTTGATGATGACTCCATTAGTGTCCATTCTTTGATTCCATTCGATTCCATTCGATGATGATTCTATTCGAGTCCATTCGTTGATTCCATTCGATTCCATTCAATTATGATTCCATTCAAGTCCAATTGATGATTACAGTCGTTTCCATTCGATGATGATTCCCCTCGAGTCCATTCGATGATTCCACTCGAGTCCATTCGATGATTTCCTTAGATTCCATTCAATGATGATTCCACTCAATGCAATTCAATGACTAAATTCGATTCCATTCGATGTTGTTTCCGTTCAATTCCATTTGATGATTCTATTCGATTCAATTCAGTGATGGTTACATTCGTGTCCACTCGATGATTCCATTCTATTCCATTCGATGATTATTCCATTAGACTCCATTCGATGATGATTCCATTCGATTTCATTCTGTGAATCTATTCATTTCCATTCGATGATGATTCCATTCTTTTCCAGTCGACGATTCCATTCGATGCCATTCGATGATTACATTCGATTACATTCGACGATGACTCCATTCTATTCCATTTGATGATTCCATTCGATTCCATTCGATGAGGATTCCATTTGATTCCATTCAATGATGATTCCATTCATGTCCATTCGATTGAATTACATTTCATTGCTTTCGATGATGATTCCATTCACGTCCATTAGATGATTCCATTTGATTCCATTCATTGATGATTCCATTCAGATTCCATTTGATGATTCCATTCGATTCCATTTGATGATTCCATTCAATTGCATTCAATGATTCCATTCGATTCCATTCGATGATGATTCCCTTCGAGTCCATTAGAAGATTCCATAACATTCCATTCGATGGTGATTCCTTTCCATTTCATTCAATGATTCCATTCGATTCCATTCGATGATGATTCCCTTCGAGTCCATGAGATAATTTCATAACATACCATTCGATAGTGATTCCATTTGATTTCATTCGATGGTGATTCCATTTGATTCCATTCGATGATTCCTTTCGTGTCCATTCGATGACACCATTGGATTCCATTCGATGATTTCATTCGTTTCCACTTGTTGATGATTCCATTCGATTCCATTCGATGATGATTCCATTCGATTCCCTTCATTGATGATTCGATTAGATTCCATTTGATGATGATTCCATTCGATTCCATTCAATGAAGATTCCATTCAATTCCATTTGATGATGATTCCATTTGACTCCATTCAATGATGATTCCATTCGATTCCATTCAAAGATTCAATTCGAGTCCATTCAATGATTCCATTCGATTCCACTTGATGATGATTCCTTTCAAGTCCATTCAATGATTCCATTCAATTCCATTAGATAATAATTCCTCTCAAGTCCATTCAATGATTCCATTCAGTTGCATTCGATGATTCCATACGATTTCATTCGATGATGATTCCATTTGAGTCCATTTGATGTTTCCATTAGATTCCATTCGAGCATAATTCCTTTCGAGTCCATTCGATGATTCCATTCAATTCCATTCCATGATGATTCCATTTCATTCCATTCAATGATGATTCCATTCGAGTCCATTCTATGATTCCTTTCTATTCCATTCGTTGATTCCATTCAATTCCATTCGATGATGATTGCATTCGACGACATTCAATGATTCCACTCGATTCCATCTGATGATTGGAGTCCATTCGGTGATTCCTTTAGATTCCACTCAAAGACGATTCCATTCAATTCCATTCCATGATACCATTCGATTCCATTCATTGATGATTCCATTTGATTCCATTTGATGATTCCATTTTATTCCATTCGATGATGATTCCATTCCATTCCATTTGATGATTCCATTCCATTCCATTAGATGTTGATTCCATTCGTGTCCACTTGATGATTCCATTCTTTTCCGTTCGACCATGATTCCATTCGAGTACATTCGATGATTCCATTCGATTGCATTCGATGATTCCATTCGAGTATATTCGATGATTCCACTCGATTCCATACGACGATTATTCCATTGGAGTCCATTTGGCGATTCCTTTAGGTTCCACTCGAAGATGATTCAATTTGATTCCATTCGATTATACCATTCGATTCCATTCATTCATGATTCCATTCAAGTGCATTTGATGATAACATTCGATTCCATTTGATGATGATTCCATTCGTTTCCACTTGATTATTCATTTCCATTCCATTCAGTGATGATTCCATTAGAGTCAATTCGATGATTCCGTTGGAGTCCATTTGATGATGATTCCATTCAGTGATTCCATTCAATTCTATTTGATAATGATTCCAATCGATTCCATTCGATGCTGATTCCATGGTATTCCATTCTATGGTTTCATTCGGTTGCATTAGACAATGACTCCATTCGATTCCAATTGATGATTCCATTTGATTCTATTTCATGATGATTCCATTCGATTCCATTTGATGATGATTGCATTCTATTCAATTCGATGATGATTCCATTCGGGTCCATTAGATGATTCCATACGATTCCATTCGATGACGATTCCATTCTATTCCATTCAATGATGATTCCATTCGGGTCAATTATATGATTCCATTCGATTCCTTTTGATGATGATTCCATTCGGGTCCATTCGATGATTTCATTCTTCTCCATTCGATGATGATTACATTCAAGTCTATTCGATGATTCTATTAGAGTCCATTGAATGATTGCTTTTGATTCCATTCGATGCTGATTCCATTCCATTCCATTCCACTCCATTCCATTCGATGATGATTCCATTCGATACCATTTTATGATTCCTTTAGATTCCATTTCATGCTGATTCCATTCAATTTCATTCAAAGATTCTATTCAAATCCATTCAATGATGATTCCATTAGATTCCATTTGATGATTCCATTTGATTTCATTTGATGATGTTTCCATTTGATTCCATTTGGTGATTCCATTCAATGATGGTTCCATTCGAGTCCATTCAATGATTCCTTTCTACTCTATTTGATGATGATTCCATGCGAGGGCATTCAATGGTGATTCCTTTGGATACCATTCAATGATTCCATTCGATTGCATTCAATGATGATTGCATTCGATTCCATTCGATGATTCCGTTTCATTCCATTCAAAGATGATTCCATTCGATTCCATTTGATAATTCCATGCGATTCCATTCGATCGTTCCAATGGATTCAATTTGATGATGATTCCATTTGTGTCTATTCGATGATTCCATTCAATTCCATCAGATGATGGTTCCATTCGAGTGAATTCGATGTTTCCAATCAATTCCATTCAATGATGCTTAAATTCGAGGCTGTCTGATGACTCTATTCATTTCCATTCTACAATGATTCCCTTTGAGTCCTTTTGAAGATTTGATTCTAGTCCTTTCGATGATCCCATTCGATTCCATTCGATGATGATTCCTTTCGAGTCCATTTGACGCGTCCCTTCGAGTACATTTGATGATTCCATTCGAGTCCAACTGATGATTCCATTCAATTCCATTCTGTGATGTTTCCGTATGATTCCATTCGATGATGATTCCATGTGATTCCTTTCGATGATGATTCATTTTAATTGCATTTGATTAGGATTCATTTCCAGTTCATTCGACGATTCCACACGATTCCATTCGATGATGATTCCATTCGAGTGTATTTGATGATTCCTTTCGATTCCATTAGAAGATGATTCCATTTGATTCCGTTCATTGGTGATCCCATTCAATTCCATTCAATGATTCCATTCCATTCCATTCAACAATGATTCCATTTGATTCCATTTGATGATTCCTTCCGCTTGATTCCATTTGATGATGATTCCATTCGATTCCATTCGATGATGATTGCCTTCAATTCCATTCGATGATTCCATTCGATTCCATTCGATGACGATTCGGTTTGATTCCATTTGATGATTCCATTCGAGTCCATTCGATGATTCCATTCGATTCCATTTGATGATGATTCCATTTGAGTCCATTCGATGATTCCATTCGAGTCCATTTAATGATTCCATTCATTCGAGTCCATTTGATGATTCCATTCGATTGCATTTTATGATTATTCCATTCGTGTCCATTAGATGATTCCATTCGAGTCCATTCAATAATTCCATTCAATTCCTTTTGATGATTCCATTCGATTCTATTTGATGTTTCCATTCGAGTCCATTTGTTCATTCATTCGTGTCCATTCGATGACTCCATTCGATTCCATTTGATAATGATCCCATTTCATGATGATTCCATTCGAGTCCATTGGATGACTCCATTTGATTCCATTCGATGATGAGTCCATTTGAATCCTTTCGATGTTTCCTATCGATTCCATTCGATGACTCCGTTCAATCCCGTTCGATGTTTCAATTCGATTGTCTTTGACGATCATTCCATTCGATTCAATTTGGTGATACCATTCGATGACGATTCCGTTCGATTCCATTCGATGAGGATTCCCTTCGATTCCATTTGATGATGATTCCATTCGATTCCATTTGACGATGATTCCATTCGAGTCCATTTGATGATTCCATTCGATTCCATTTGATGATGATTCCACTCAAGCCCATTCGATTATTCCATTCGAGTCCATTCAATGATTCCATTAGATTCCATTCGATGATGATTCCATTCGAGTCCATTCGATGATTCCATTCGATTCCATTCAATGATGATTCCTTTCAGGTCCATTAGATGATCCCATTAGATTCCATTAGATGATGACTCCATTAGAGTCCATTCTTTGATTCCATTCGATTCCATTCGATGATGATTCTGTTCGAGTCCATTCGTTGATTACTGTCGATTCCATTCAATGATGATTCCCCTCGAGTCCATTCGATGATTCCACTCGAGTCCATTCGATGATTTCCTTAGATTCCATTCAGTGATGATGATTCCATTCGATTCCATTTGATGATGATTGCATTCTATTCAATTCGATGACGATTCCATTCTATTCCATTCAATGATGATTCCATTCGAGTCCATTCAATGGTGATTCTATTGGATTCCATTTGGTGATGCCATTCGATTCTGTTCGATGATTGCATTCGATTCCATTTGATGATTCCCTTCGATTCCATTCAAAGTTTATTCCATTCGAGTCCGTTTGATAATTCCATTCGATTCCATTCTCCGATGATTCCACTGGTGTCCGTTCGATGATTCCATTCAATTCCAGTTGATGATGATTCCATTCGAGTCCATTCAATGATTTCATTGGATTCCATTTGATAATGACTCCTTCCGGTTCCATTCCATGATGATTCCATTCGGTTCCATTAGATAGTGATTCCATTCAAGTCCATTCGATGATTCCATTCGATTCCACTTGATTTTGATTCCATTGGAGTCCATTTGATTATTCCCTTTGAATGCATTCCATGATTCCTTTCGATTCCATTTGATATTGCTTCCACTCGAGTCCATTCGATGATTCCATTTGATTTCATTCAATGATGACTCGATTCAATTCCGTTTGATGATTCCATTTGATTCCATTTGATGACAACTCCATTCGAGCCCATTCGATGATTCCTTTCGAGTCCATTTGATGATTCTATTTGGTTCCATTCGATGATGATTCCTTTGAATTCCATTCGTTGGTGATTCCATTCGATTCCATTCGATGATGATTCCATTCAATTGCATTCGATGATGATTCCATTCGATTCCATTCGATGATGATTCCATTCGGTTTCATTCGATGATTCTATTCAATTCCTTTCTATGAGTATTCAATTCTTTTCCATTTGATGATTCCATGTGATTCCACTTGATGATGATTCCATTCGTTTGCATTCGATGATGATTCCATTCAGGTCCATTCAAAGATTCCATTCGATTCCATTCTATGATGATTGCATTCGAGTTCATTTGATGATTCCATTCGACTGCATTCGATGATGATTCCATTCGTTGATATTCAATGATTCCATTCGATTCCATTTGCTGATGATTCCATTCGACTCCATTCAACGATTCCATTCGATTCCATTCAATGAGGATTCCATTCGAGTCCTTTTGATGATTCTGTTCAATTCCATTCGATGATGATTCCTCTCAAATACATTTGATGATTCCATTCGAGTACATTCGATTATTCCATTTGATTTTATTCGATAATGATTCCATTCGATGCCATTCGATGATTCCATTCGATTCCATTCAATGGTGATTCCATTCGATGCCATTCGATGATTCCATTCAGTCTTATTTGATGATGATTCCATCCGTGTCCATTCGATGATTCCGTTCGTTTCCATTCGATGATGATTCCATTTGAATCTATTCGATGATTCCTATCGATTCCATTCGATGACTCTGTTCAATCCCATTCGATGTTTCCCTTCGATTGTCTTTGATGATCATTCCATTCGATTCAATTTGGTGATTCCATTCCATGATGATTCCGTTCGATTCCATTCGATGAGGATTCCATTCGATTCCATTGAATGATGATTCCATTCGATTCCATTTGACGATGATTCCATTCGAGTCCATTTGATGATTCCATTCGATTCCATTTGATGATGATTCCACTCAAGCCCATTCGATTATTCCATTCGAGTCCATTCAATGATTCCATTAGATTCCATTCGATGATGACTCCATTCGAGTCCATTCGATGATTCCATTCGATTCCATTCAATGATGATTCCTTTCAGGTCCATTAGATGATTCCATTAGATTCCATTTGATGATGACTCCATTAGAGTCCATTCTTTGATTCCATTCGATTCCATTCGATGATGATTCTATTGGAGTCCATTCGTTGATTCCATTCGATTCCATTCAATCATGATTCCATTCGAGTCCAATCGATGATTACAGTCAATTCCATTCGATGATGATTCCCCTCGTGTCCATTCGAATATTCCACTCGAGTCCGTTCGATGATTTCCTTAGATTCCATTCAATGATGATTCCACTCAATGCAATTCAGTGACTAAATTCGATTCCATTCGATGTTGTTTCCATTCAAGTCCATTTGATGATTCTATTCGATTCCATTCAATGATGATTCCATTCGTGTCCACTCGAAGATTCCATTCTATTCCATTCGATGATTATTCCATTAGACTCCATTCCATGATGATTCCATTCGATTTCATTCTGTGATTCTATTCATTTCCATTCGATGATGATTCCATTCTTTTCCAGTCGATGATTCCATTCGATGCCATTCGATGATTACATTCGATTACATTCGACGATGACTCCATTCTATTCCATTTGATGATTCCATTCGATTCCATTCGATGAGGATTCCATTTGATTCCATTCAATGATGATTCCATTCATGTCCATTCGATTGAATTACATTTCATTGCATTCGATGATGATTCCATTCGCGTCCATTAGATGATTCCATTTGATTCCATTCATTGATGATCCCATTCAGATTCCATTCGATGATTCCATTCAATTGCATTCAATGTTTCCATTCGATTCCATTCGATGATGATTCCCTTCGAGTCCATTAGAAGATTCCATAACATTCCATTCGATGGTGATTCCTTTCCATTTCATTCAATGATTACATTCGATTCCATTCGATGATGATTCCCTTGGATTCCATGAGATGATTTCATAACATTCCATTCGATGGTGATTCCTTTGGATTCCATTCGATGGTTATTCCATTTGATTCGTTTCGATTATTCCTTTCATGTCCATTCGATGACACCATTGAATTCCATTCGATGACTTCATTCGTATCCACTTGTTGATGATTCCTTTCGATTCCATTCGATGATGATTCCAGTCGATTCCCTTCATTGATGATTCGATTAGATTCCATTTGATGATGATTCCATTCGAGTCCATTCAATGAAGATTCCATTCAATTCCATTTGATGATGATTCCATTTGACTACATTCAATGATGATTCCATTCGATTCCATTCAAAGATTCAATTCGAGTCCATTCAATGATTAAATTCGATTCCATTTGATGATGATTCCTTTCAAGTCCATTCAATGATTCCATTCAATTCCATTCGATAATAATTCCTTACAAGTCCATTCAATGATTCCATTCAGTTGCATTCTATGATTCCATACGTTTTCATTCGATGATGATTCCATTTGAGTCCATTTGATGATTACATTAGATTCCATTCGAGCATAATTCCTTTCAAGTCCATTCGATGATTCCATTCAATTCCATTCCATGATGATTCCATTTGATTCCATTCAATGATGATTCCATTCGAGTCCATTCTACGATTCCTTTCTATTCCATTCGTTGATTCCATTCAATTCCATTCGATGATGATTGCATTCGACTACATTCGATGATTCCACTCGATTCCATCCGACGATTGGAGTCCATTCGGTGATTCCTTTACATTGCACTCAAAGACGATTCCATTCAATTCCATTCCATGATACCATTCGATTCCATTCATTGATGATTCCATTTGATTCCATTTGATGATTCCATTTTATTCCATTCGATGATGATTCCATTCCATTCCATTTGATGATTCCATTCCATTCCATCAGATGTTGATTCCATTCGTGTCCGCTTGATGATTCCATTCTTTTCCGTTCGACCATGATTCCATTCGATTCCATTCGATGATTCCATTCGAGTACATTCGATGATTCCATTCGAGTACATTCGATGATTCCACTCGATTCCATACGATGATTATTCCATTGGAGTCCATTTGGCGATTCCTTTAGTTTCCACTCGAAGATGATTCCGTTTGATTCCATTCGATTATACCATTCGATTCCATTCATTGATGATTCCATTCAAGTGCATTTGATGATACCATTCGATTCCATTCGATGATGATTCCATTCGTTTCCATTTGATTATTCCATTCTATTCCATTCAATGATGATACCATTAGTGTCAATTCGATGATTCCATTGGAGTCCATTTGATGATGATTCCATTCAGTGATTCCATTCAATTCTATTTGATAATGATTCCCATCGATTCCATTCGATGTTGATTCCATGGGATTCCATTCTATGATTTCTTTCGATTGCATTAGACAATGACTCCATTCGATTCCATTTGATGATTCCATTCGATTCTATTTGATGATGATTCCATTCGATTCCATTTGATGATGATTGCATTCTATTCAATTCGATGATGATTCCATTCGTGTCCATTAGATGATTCCATACGATTCCATTCGATGACGATTCCATTCTATTCCATTGAATGATGATTCCATTCGGGTCCATTATATGATTCCACTCGATTCCATTTGATGATGATTCCATTCTTCTCCATTCGATGATGATTACATTCAAGTCTATTCGATGATTCTATTAGAGTCCATTGAATGATTGCTTTTGATTCCATTCGATGCTGATTCCATTCCATTCCATTCCATTCCATTCCATTCGATGATGATTCCATTCGATACCATTCTATGATTCCTTTAGATTCCATTTCATGCTGATTCCATTCAATTTCATTGAAAGATTCTATTCGAATCCATTCAATGATGATTCCATTCGATTCCATTTGATGATTCCATTTGATTTCATTTGATGATGATTCCATTTGATTCCATTTGGTGATTCCATTCAATGATGGTTCCATTCGAGTCCATTCAATGATTCCTTTCTACTCTATTTGATGATGATTCCATGCGAGGTCATTCAATGTTGATTCCTTTGGATACCATTGCATGATTCCATTCGATTCTATTCAATGATGATTGCATTCGATTCCATTCGATGATTCCATTTGATTCCATCCAAAGATGATTCCATTCGATTCCATTTGATAATTCCATGCGATTCCATTCGATCGTTCCAATGGATTCCATTTGATGATGATTCTATTTGTGTCCATTCGATGATTCCATTGAATTCCATACGATGATGATTCCATTCGAGTGAATTCGATGTTTGGAATCAATTCCATTCAATGATGCTTCCATTCGAGGCTGTCTGATGACTCTATTCATTTCCATTCTACAATGATTCCCTTTGAGTCCTTTTGAAGATTTGATTCGAGTCCTTTCGATGATCTCGTTCGATTCCATTCGAGGATGATTCCGTTCGAGTCCATTTGACGCGTCCCTTCGAGGACATTTGATGAGTCCATTCGAGTCCAACTGATGATTCCATTCAATTCCATTCTGTGATGTTTCCGTATGATTCCATTCGATGATGATTCCATGTGTTTCCTTTCAATGATGATTCATTTTAATTGCATTTGATTATGATTCATTTCCAGTTCATTCGACGATTCCACATGATTCCATTCGATGATATTTCCATTCGAGTGTATTTGATGATTCCTTTCGATTCCATTAGAAGATGATTCCATTTGATTCCGTTCATTGGTGATCCCATTCAATTCCATTCAACGATTCCATTCCATTCCATTCAACAATGATTCCATTTGATTCCATTTGATGATTCCTTCCGCTTGATTCGATTTGATGATGATTCCATTCGATTCCATTCGATGGTGATTGCCTTCAATTCCATTCGATGATTCCATTCGATTCCATTCGATGACGATTCGGTTTGATTCCATTTGATGATTCCATTCGAGTCCATTCGATGATTCCATTCGATTCCATTTGATGATGATTCCATTTGAGTCCATTCGATGATTCCATTCGAGTCTATTCAATGATTCCATTCATTCGAGTCTATTTGATGATTCCATTCGATTCCATTTTATGATTATTCCATTCGTGTCCATTATATGATTCCATTCGAGTCCATTCAATAATTCCATTCAATTCCTTTCGATGATTCCATTCGATTCTATTTGATGTTTCCATTCGAGTCCATTTGTTCATTCATTCGTGTCCATTCGATGACTCCATTCGATTACATTTGATGATGATCCCATTTGATGATGATTCCATTGGAGTCCATTTGATGACTCCATTTGATTCCATTCGATGTTGATTCCATTCGTGTCCATTCAATGTTTTTGTTCTATTCCACTCAATGAGGATTCCCTTCAAATCCATTTGATGATTGTATTCAAGTCCATTCAGTGATTGCTTTCGATTCCATTCGATATTGATTCCCTTTGATTCCATTCGATGAGGATTCCATTCGATGTCATTCTAGGATTCCATTCGATTCCATTTGATGTTGATTGCATTTGATTCCATTTGATTATTCTATTCGATAATTTTGATGACGATTCCATTCGATTCCATTCAGTGATTCCAGTTCATTACAGTTGATGATGATTCCTTTCGATTCCATTCGATGATTCCAATTGATTCCAATCGATGATGATTCCATTCGAGTCCATTCGATGATTCCATTCGATTCCATTCAATGATGATTCCATTCGAGTCCATTCAATGGTGATTCCATTGGATTCCATTCGGTGATGCCATTCGATTCCGTTCGATGAAAGCATTCGATTCCATTTGATGATTCCCTTCGATTCCATTCAAAGTTTATTCCATTCGAGTCCATTTGATAATTCCATTCGATTCCATTCTCCGAGGATTCCACTGGAGTCCGTTCGATGATTCCATTCAATTCCAGTTGATGATGATTCCATTCGAGTCCATTCAATGATTTCATTGGATTCCATTTGATGATGACTCCTTCCGGTTCCATTCCATGATGATTCCATTCGGTTCCATTAGATAGTGATTCCATTCAAGTCCATTCGATGATTCCATTCGATTCCATTCGATGATGATTCCATTCCGGTCCATTCGATGTTTCCTTTCGATTAAACTTGATGTTGATTCCATTTGAGTCCATTTGATTATTCCCTTTGACTGCATTCCATGATTCCTTTCGATTCCATTTGATATTGCTTCCATTCGAGTCCATTCGATGATTCCATTCGATTTCATTCAATGATGATTCGATTCAATTCCGTCCGATGATTCCATTTGACTCCATTCGATGACAACTCCATTCGAGTCCATTCGATGATTCCTTTCGAGTCCATTTGATGATTCTATTTGGTTCCATTCGATGATGATTCCTTTGAATTCCATTCGTTGGTGATTCCATTCGATTCCATTCGATGATGATTCCATTCGATTGCATTCGATGATGATTCCATTCGGTTTCATTCGATGATTCCATTCAATTCCTTTCTATGATTATTCAATTCTTTTCCATTTGATGATTCCATGTGATTCCATTTGATGATGATTCCATTCGTTTGCATTCGATGATGATTCCATTCAGGTCCATTCAAAGATTCCATTCGATTCCATTCTATGATGATTGCATTCGAGTTCATTTGATGATTCCATTCGACTCCATTCGATGATGACTCCATTCGTTGATATTCAATGATTCCATTCGATTCCATTTGCTGATGATTCCATTCGACTCCATTCAACGATTCCATTCGATTCCATTCAATGAGGATTCCATTCGAGTCCTTTTGATGATTCTGTTCAATTCCATTCGATGATGATTCCTCTCAAATCCATTTGATGATTCCATTCGAGTACATTCGATTATTCCATTTGATTTTATTCGATGACGATTCCATTCGATGCCATTCGATGATTCCATTCGATTCCATTCAATGGTGATTCCATTCGATGCCATTGGATGATTCCATTCAATCCTATTTGATGATGATTCCATTCCTGTCCATTCGATGATTCCGTTCGTTTCCATTCGATGATGATTCCATTTGAATCCATTCGATGATTCCTATCGATTCCATTCGATGACTCCGTTCAATCCCATTCGATGTTTCCCTTCGATTGTCTTTGATGATCATTCCATTCGATTCAATTTTGTGATTCCATTCCATGATGATTCCGTTCGATTCCATTCGATGAGGATTCCATTCGATTCCATTTGATGATGATTCCATTCGATTCCATTTGACTATGTTTCCATTCGAGTCCATTTGATGATTCCATTCGATTCCATTTGATGATGATTCCACTCAAGCCCATTCGATTATTCCATTCGAGTCCATTCAATGATTCCATTAGATTCCATTCGATGATGATTCCATTCGAGTCCATTCGATGATTCCATTCCATTCCATTCAATGATGATTCCTTTCAGGTCCATTAGATGATTCTATTAGATTCCATTTGATGATGACTCCATTAGAGTCCATTCTTTGATTTCGATTCCATTCGATGATGATTCTATTCGAGTCCATTCGTTGATTCCATTCGATTCCATTCAATGATGATTCTATTCGAGTCCAATCGATGATTACAGTCGATTCCATTCGATGATGATTCCCCTCGAGTCCATTCGATGATTCCACTCGAGTCCGTTCGATGATTTCCTTAGACTCCATTCAATGATGATTCCACTCAATGCAATTCAATGACTAAATTCGATTCCATTCGATGTTGTTTCCATTCAAGTCCATATGATGATTCTATTCGATTCCATTCAATGATGATTCCATTCGTGTCCACTCGATGATTCCATTCTATTCCATTCGATGATTATTCCATTAGACTCCATTCGATGATGATTCCATTCGATTTCATTCTGTGATTCTATTCATTTCCATTCGATGATGATTCCATTCTTTTCCAGTCGATGATTCCATTCGATGCCATTCGATGATGATTGCCTTCCAGTCCATTAGAAGATTCCATAACATTCCATTCGATGGTGATTCCTTTCCTTTTCATTCAATGATTCCATTCGATTCCATTCGATGATGATTCCCTTCGATTCCATGAGATGATTTCATAACATTCCATTCGATCGTGATTCCATTGGATTCCATTCGATGGTGATTCCATTTGATTCCATTCGATGATTCCTTTCGTGTCCATTCGATGACACCATTGGATTCCATTCAATGATTTCATTCGTTTCCACTTGTTGATGATTCCATTCGATTCCATTCGATGATGCTTCCATTCGATTCCCTTCATTGATGATTCGATTAGATTCCAATTGATGATGATTCCTTTCGAGTCGATTCAATGAAGATTCCATTCAATTCCATTTGATGATGATTCCATTTGACTCCATTCAATGATGATTCCATTCGATTCCATTCGATTCCATTCAAAGATTCAATTCGAGTCCATTCAATGATTCCATTCGATTCCACTTGATGATGATTCCTTTCAAGTCCATTCAATGATTCCATTCAATTCCATTCCATAATAATTCCTTTCAAGTCCACTCAATGATTCCATTCAGTTGCATTCGATGATTCCATATGATTTCATTCGATGATGATTCCATTTGAGTCCATTTGATGATTCCATTAGATTCCATTCGAGCACAATTCCTTTCGAGTCCATTCGATAATTCCATTCAATTCCATTCCATGATGATTCCATTTGATTCCATTCAATGATGATTCCATTCGCGTCCCTTCTACGATTCCTTTCTATTCCATTCGTTGATTCCATTCAGTTCCATTCGATGATGATTGCATTCAACTACACTCGATGATTCCACTTTATTCCATCCGATGATTGGAGTCCATTCGGTGATTCCTTTAGATTCCACTCAAAGACGATTCCATTCAATTCCATTCCATGATACCATTTGATTCCATTCATTGATGATTCCATTTGATTCCGTTTGATGATTCCATTTGATTCCATTCGATGATGATTCCATTCCATTCCATTTGATGATTCCATTCCATTCCATTAGATGTTGATTCCATTCGTGTCCACTTGATGATTCCCTTATTTTCCGTTCGACCATGATTCCATTCGATTCCATTCGATGATTCCATTCGATTCCATTCGATGATGATTCCATTCGTTTCCATTTGATTATTCCATTCTATTCCATTCAGTGATGATTCCATTAGAGTCAATTCGATGATTCCGTTGGAGTCCATTTGATGAGGATTCCATTCAGTGATTCCATTCAATTCTATTTGATAATGATTCCAATCGATTCCATTCTATGTTGATTCCATGGGATTCCATTCTATGATTTCATTCGATTGCATTAGACAATGACTCCATTCGATTCCATTTGATGATTCCATTCGATTCTATTTGATGATGATTCCATTCGATTCCATTTGATGATGATTGCATTCTATTCAATTCGATGATGATTCCATTCGTGTCCATTAGATGATTCCATACGATTCCATTCGATGACGATTCCATTTGATTCCATTCGATGATGATTCCATTCGTGTCCATTCGATGATTCCATTCTTCTCCACTCGATGATGATTACATTCAAGTCTATTCGCTGATTCTATTAGAGTCCATTGAATGATTGCTTTTGATTCCATTCGATGCTGATTCCATTCCATTCCATTCCATTCCATTCCATTCGATGATGATTCCATTCGATACCATTCTATGATTCCTTTAGATTCCATTTCATGCTGATTCCATTCAATTTCATTCAAAGATTCTATTCGAATCCATTCAATGATGATTCCATTCGATTCCATTTGATGATTCCATTTGATTTCATTTGATGATGATTCCATTTGATTCCATTTGGTGATTCCATTCAATGATGGATCCATTCCAGTCCATTCAATGATTCCTTTCTACTCTATATGATGATGATTCCATGCGAGGGCATTCAATGGTGATTCCTTTGGATACCATTCGATGATTCCATTCGATTCCATTCAATGATGATTGCATTCGATTCCATTCGATGATTCCATTGGATTCCATTCAAAGATGATTCCATTCGATTCCATTTGATAATTCCATGCGATTCCATTTGATCGTTCCAATGGATTCCATTTGATGATGATTCCATTTGTGTCCATTCGGTGATTCCATTCAATTGCATCAGATGATCATTCCATTCGAGTGAATTCGATGTTTCCAATCAATTCCATTCAATGATGCTTCCATTCGAGGCTGTCTGATGACTCTATTCATTTCCATTCTACAATGATTCCCTTTGAGTCCTTTTGAAGATTTGATTCGAGTCCTTTTGATGATCCCGTTCGATTCCATTCGATGATGATTCCGTTCGAGTCCATTTGACGCGTCCCTTGGAGTACATTTGATGATTCCATTCGAGTCTAGCTGATGATTCCATTCAATTCCATTCTGTGATGTTTCCGTATGATTCCATTCGATGATGATAACATGTGATTCCTTTCGATGATGATTCATTTTAATTGCGTTTGATTATGATTCATTTCCAGTTCATTCGATGATTCCACATGATTCCATTCGATGATGATTCCATTCGAGTGTATTTGATGATTCCTTACGATTCCATTAGAAGATGATTCCATTTGATTCCGTTCATTGGTGATCCCATTCAATTCCATTCAATGATTCCATTCCATTCCATTCAACAATGATTCCTTTTGATTCCATTTGATGATTCCTTCCACTTGATTCCATTTGTTGATGATTCCATTCGATTCCATTCGATGATGATTGCCTTCAATTCCATTCGATGATTCCATTCGATTCCATTCGATGACGATTCGGTTTGATTCCATGGGATGATTCCATTCGAGTCCATTCGATGATTCCATTCGATTCCATTTGATGATGATTCCATTTGAGTCCATTCGATGATTCCATTCGAGTCCATTCAATGATTCCATTCATTCGTGTCCTTTAGATGATTCCATTCGAGTCCATTCAATCATTGCATTCAATTCCTTTCGATGATTCCATTCGATTCTATTTGATGTTTCCATTCGAGTCCATTTGTTCATTCATTCGTGTCCATTCGATGACTCCATTCGATTCCATTTGATGATGATCCCATTTGATGATGATTCCATTCGAGTCCATTTGATGACTCCATTTGATTCCATTCGATGATGATTCCATTCGTGTCCATTCAATGTTTTTGTTCTATTCCATTCAATGAGTATTCCCTTCAAATCCATTTGATGATTGTATTCAAGTCCATTCAGTGATTGCTTTCGATTCCATTCGATATTGATTCCCTTTGATTCCATTCGATGAGGATTCCATTCGATGTCATTCTAGGATTCCATTCGATTCCACTTGATGTTGATTGCATTTGATTCCATTTGATTATTCTATTCGAATATTTTTGATGACGATTCCATTCGATTCAATTCAGTGATTCCTGTTCATTACAGTTGATGATGATTCCTTTCGATTCCTTTCGATGATTCCATTTGATTCCAATCGATGATGTTTCCATTCGAGTCCATTCGATGATTCCATTCGATTCCATTCAATGATGATTCCATTCGAGTCCATTCAATGGTGATTCCATTGGATTCCATTCGATGATTCCATTCGATTCCGTTCGATGATTGCATTCGATTCCATTTGATGATTCCCTTCGTTTCCATTCAAAGTTTATTCCATTCGAGTCCGTTTGATAATTCCATTCGATTCCATTCTCCGATGATTCCATTCGAGACCGTTCGATGATTCCATTCAATTCCCGTTGACGATGATTCCATTCGAGTCCATTCAATGATTTCATTGGATTCCATTTGATGATGACTCCTTCCGGTTCCATTCCATGATGATTCCATTCGGTTCCATTAGATAGTGATTCCATTCAAGTCCATTCGATGATTCCATTCGATTCCATTCGATGATGATTCCGTTCCGGTCCATTCGATGATTCCTTTCGATTCCACTTGATGTTGATTCCATTTGAGTCCATTTGATTGTTCCCTTTGAATGCATTCCATGATTCCTTTCGATTCCATTTGATATTGCTTCCATTCGAGTCCATTCGATGATTCCATTTGATTTCATTCAATGATGATTCGATTCAATTCCGTTCGATGATTCCATTTGATTCCATTCGATGACAACTCCATTCGAGTCCATTCGATGATTCCTTTCGAGTCCATTTGATGATTCTATTTGGTTCCATTCGATGATGATTCCTTTCAATTCCATTCGTTGGTGATTCCATTCGATTCCATTCGATGATGATTCCATTCAATTGCATTCGATGATGATTCCATTCGATTCCATTCGATGAAGATTCCATGCGGTTTCATTCGATGATTCTATTCAATTCCTTTCTATGATTATTCAATTCTTTTCCATTTGATGATTCCATGTGATTCCATTTGATGATGATTCCATTCGTTTGCATTCGATGATGATTCCATTCAGGTCCATTCAAAGATTCCATTGGATTCCATTCTATGATGATTGCATTCGAGTTCATTTGATGATTCCATTCGACTCCATTCGATGATGATTTCATTCGTTGATCTTCAATGATTCCATTCGATTCTATTTGCTGATGATTCCATTCGACTCCATTCAATGATTCCATTCGATTCCATTCAATGAGGATTCCATTCGAGTCCATTTGATGATTCTGTTCAATTCCATTCGATGATGATTCCTCTCAAATCCATTTGATGATTCCATTCGAGTACATTCGATTATTCCATTTGATTTTATTCGATGATGATTCCATTCGATGCCATTCGATGATTCCGTTCGATTCCATTCAATGGTGATTCCATTCGATGCCATTCGATGATTCCATTCAATCCTATTTGATGATGATTCCATCCGTGTCCATTCGATGATTCCGTTCGTTTCCATTCGATGATGATTCCATTTGAATCCATTCGATGATTCCTATCGATTCCATTCGATGACTCCGTTCAATCCCATTCGATGTTTCCCTTCGATTGTCTTTGATGATCATTCCATTCGATTCAATTTGGTGATTCCATTCGATGATGATTCCGTTCGATTCCATTCGATGAGGATTCCATTCGATTCCATTTGATGATGATTCCAATCGATTCCATTTGACGATGATTCCATTCGAGTCCATTTGATGATTCCATTCGATTCCATTTGATGATGATTCCACTCAAGCCCATTCGATTATTCCATTCGAGTCTATTCAATGATTCCAGTAGATTCCACTCGATGATGATTCCATTGGATTCCATTCAATGATGATTCTATTCATGTCCATTCGATGATTCCATTGTATTCCATTTAATGATGATTCCATTCGAGTCTATTCCATGATTCCATTCAATTCCATTCACTGATGAATCCATCCGAATCCATTCGATGATTCCATTCGTTTCCCTTCGATGATTCCATTTGATCCCATTCGATGATTCCCTTCAATTCCTTTCGGTGATCTTTCCATTCGATTCAATTCATTGATTCAATTTGATTCCATACGATGATGATTCCATTCGATTCCATTTGATGATGATTCCATTTGATTCCATTTGATCATGAGTCCATTCGATTCCATTTGCTGATTACTGTGTTCGGTTCCATTTAATGATGATTCCTTTCAGTTCCATTTGATGATGGTTCCTTTAGATTCCATTCGATGATTCCATTCGATTACTTTTGTTGATGATTCCATTCGATTCCCTTCAATGATGATTTCATTCGATTCCATTTGATGATGATTCCATTCGATTCCATTCAGTGATTATTCCATCTGATTCCATTCGATGATTATTCCATCCGATTCCATTCGATGATTATTCCATTCAAGTCCTTTGGATGATGATGCCTTTTGATTCCATTCAATGATGACTCCATTCGTTTCCATTCGATGGTGTTTCCACTTGATTCCATTCGATGATATTTCCATTCTATTCCATTCGATGATGATTCCATTCCATTCCATTCCACTACATTCCATTACATCTGATTCCATTCCACTCCATTCCACTCCTCTCCTCTCCACTCCACTCCCTTGCTTTCCATTCCATTCCTTTCTTTCGAGAGTGGCTCATTGTTTCACCCATTGTGTAACACAATGGCACAATCTCATCTCCCATTCCATTCAATTCCTCTCCATTCAATTCCATTTGATTCCATTCCATTCCATTCCATTCCATTCCATTCCATTCTATTCCATTCCATTCCATTCCATTCCATTCTATTCCATTCCTTTCCTTTCCATTCGAAGAAGAAAAGGTGTTGCAAAGTCATACTCACTTTTCTGCACTTGTCATACAATTAAGATTTCTTTGAGTACTTCAGCCCTAATAATTTTCGTTTTATCATACATATTGCAGTGCTTATCTAATTTTAAATATATTTTTGTTTCAACATCCAGTTTCTTATTTGTTCTATCTGTTTGTTTACAATAAATTTTACTCTGTGTTCATTCTTTGATTTCAGAACTTCAACCTTTCTGAAGCATATTTTCAGAGTTTCTCTTTAGTTTCTTTAGTGGAATTCTGCTGGTGGCGTTTTGTTTTTTTCTCTAAATATGTTATTTAGCCACAGGTTGATGAATATTTTTCTTCGTTTAGAAATTCAGAATGGCATTATTATTCTGAACAAATAATATTGTTTATTTTACCTTTCATTTTTTCAGATTTCGGTATGATTAAAAGTAATTTCATTTTTCTAGTGGTAATTGAAATATTTTTCCCTTCATGGGTGTTTACTATTTCTCTAGGAGATACATAGGTGTAGGTGTATCTCCATTGTAGCTTGCTTAGCATGCATGGAGTTTTTGAATATGCAGATCAGTGTCTTACAAAAGTCTAGGGAACTTTCAGACAAAATACCAACACATATTGTCCCTTCCCAGTTCCCTTGTTCTATGAGAACGCTCTCTAAACACATGCTACACTTTCTCACTGTATCTTCCATGTCTCTTCATCATTCTGTCCACATTTTACATTTTTCAAAATTTTCTGTAATGCATTCTGAAATATTTATGAACTCTCACCTTGGCCATGTCTAATCTGATGAATTCATTTTTGAGTTTTTAATTTAAAATAACTACATTTTTATACAAACTTCTTTTCAAATTTGCTACATGAATTTTTTAGTCTCCTAACAATATATTCATTTTTTAAAAAATTTTTTGTAAGCAAATGTGCTTTGTAATCTAACAGTGATATTTCTACTAATGAACCTTTGTGGATCTGTTTGTAGTCTTTTTCTGCTTTCCTTTCAAATGGTGGAATATCATTTCCTTGCATGCTTAGATGTCTTTGAATGACAAATATTTATTTTTCTCTGAAAATTATTTTTGTGCACTTTTGCAGATTAATAAGTAGAAAATTTGCCAAAGAGAAGTTGAATTTTTTTGTGATTCTACTAAAGGCACCACCATTCTGGGACCACATTATGTTAATTCTTGGCCTAAAGGTGTTCGGACATATGTTTGGACTGCACATTTAAACAATTTTTAAATTAGTTGCTGTTAATCATTAATGATTGAGTTTCTTTAAATCCGTCCAATCTCAAATCATTTTTATTTGCCATTTCCAGGGAATGTGAAATGGGACTAATTTACCTCTGATCTTCCTTATACTGAGGATAGAAATGTTGGTCTTAGCTGTAGGGAGGAGCTCCTGTGTGATGCCCTATCTTGGGAAAATCTATGTATTTTTTTACTGTCCTATGTAATGTATGACAATAGGAATCTGCACTCATTCATTTTGCTACATGTCCGTAGGGAAAAATCAGTTTCCGTGTTTAGTTATATTTTGTCTGCTCCCTGCATTCCCATGGTTTTGACCTTATATTTTACTTTTATGTGTGAACATACCAGTGCTTCAAATTTTTTCCAGTAATATATTCAACTATATTATGAGAAAGAGAAAAATTTTGATAAAACACAAATTTCATGTTTTCCCTCTGTAATTGGCTTTTACTTCAAAATACAGGTAAAATTTATTTGTGCTTTTTTTGCTATTTCTGTTTTGCTATTCTCTGTCTATGTCTTCTCCACATAGACACAATTAGGGAATTTTGTACCCTCTTGTGCCAACTGCTTTGATAGTAACAAAATGTATTTCTGGAACTCCTAGGTATAAAACTCAAGTATCCACAATTTAAATTCTTTTTTGCTCATTTCTATTATGTTTCCAGTCTCAATAGAAATCGATGACAATCCAGAAATACAAGCATTATTCTAATACTTCTCACACATTACAGGTATAGATTAAATTTTCTAGATCTCCTTAAATACTATCATTTTTCACTACTTGTATCTTAACTGTTAAGTTCAACATTTTCTATAATATTAATATGTTGTGAAAATTTCCTTACTTTCTTGTTTGTCCCAAGTTCAAGGTTTTGCAGTCTCTACCTCACCCTGTGAAGCATAAACATTGTACTATGCTGTACAAATATTACATAGTTCATGTGCTTAGAGATTGCACAATTTTTGTTTG
Organism: Homo sapiens; assembly: GCF_000001405.40. NCBI lineage: Eukaryota > Metazoa > Chordata > Mammalia > Primates > Hominidae > Homo > Homo sapiens. The sequence goes on from NT_187524.1 coordinate 25,201, forward strand.
GTTGACAATAGCTAATGTTTTCTTCTTCATTTTCTATTTCCTGATTTTTCTTTATTTAGTATATGCTACATTATTATAAACATAAGAACGTTTTACAAACTAAAGCAAAAGAAACCCTAGGAAAAAAATGCACAAATAAAATATATAAACATACAATTAGATGTACCATGTACCCTTCTAATTTATTTAGACATTTAATTGTAGTACAATTTTAATTAAAGTCTGTGTATTATCTGCCATCGTCTTAGTATTTTTTATATAACAAATTGTGTAAATCAAAAAGCCTCAATGTCATTATAAACTATCTTGGCAGAGGTTGATGTCCAAGGAATAATTTCTCTCCCAAATTATGTCAATCAGAATTTCACTCTACCATAATTCTTTTAATCAGTTTCAGAGGAATCATCAATTTCAAAATTGTTCAAGGTTGTTGTTGTAGTTCAAGTACATTTTGACAGGTGTAAAACTGTAGACAGACTGATACAAACATATTCTATTTGACACAAAAGTATATGGGTCCTTTTTTAAATTCTAGACTTTAAAATGTCGTGTCAACGTACACATGTTCTCCTTGTGAAATAATTGCTTTTTATTCTCTGGATAGAATAATTTAATCTTTAAACCTTCAATTCACTGTTAAAAACAAAATATTACCTAAGGATATGCATATAAAAATAATTCACAGCTAGCTTTTCAATTCAGAAATATATGTGAGAAATCATCAAGCATCTAATGGATTTCAAGGAGAAATGGGTTAGTAATTTATTCCATATGTCTCAATTTTTCCTAGATTCAAGGCTTCCTTTAAAATAATTGTAGGCGTTTAAGAAACCATGTAAACTAAAAAGAAGAAATTGTGACACTGCCACTTAGGTTTTTTAAATCTTTTGACATGAATCAATATACTTTTTAATTTTATCTTAATTAGACATTGTGAGTTCACCATCTTCCTGTCAGTACAGCATCCAAGCTGATTATCATAGATTACAAGTTACACTATCAACTGTATTCTGAGACTCTTAAAAAAAAATGAGTGTTTTTGTTTGGGTATTCTTAAAGCAGGAGTGAGGACACAGCGAAAGTGAGACAAGGAAGAGAGAACAAAATAAAACAGGAAAGATAGAAAAGCCAGTACCACACGTGTTAAGAGGCAAGTTCCTGTGTTAGATATCGGGGCTTAATTCTATGGGAAGCTATGTGGAACATGCCTCAGAATTACATCACTGAATCCAGGGAGATTCTTCTTAGTTATCCTCACCTTTTCTTCCCACTTGCCCAGTATCAAGCTCCCATGCTGCTAGAGAAAGTCCTCAGCTAGAAACAGCTGCAAATTCTGGAGATGAGACCTTGTAGAGTGTTAAGAGTGGTTTTCTTCCCAGCAGCTACAGGTAAGGAATAGGGGCTGGGCTATTAATACATCTGCTACAAATCAATATACCCCTTATGCTCCTTTTGGTGATCAACAATGTATTTAAAAATATTAGATGATCAAGAAGGGCTGCAGAAAGGAGGAAACAGAAACAAACAGCACACCTCTTGGTTTATTTTTGTTCATTTCATCAATTTCAAGGAAAATGTGTTGGGAGTTCCTGGCATAGAGAATGTCACAAAGATATGTTTTCAATAGTGGTGCTGTCACTAGGGCAGAGAAGATCCAGAGAAAGCCCAAGTGGCTGCTGGAACAAAGTCAGACACCGTGCCACCTGTCCGCATTCCTTGGCTCTGCCATCATGCTGAAGATTGGTTTAAAGGGCTGGCTTCCCTCCCTGCAAAATTAAAAGAGCACAAACTGAGAAACTGAATGTGGGAGACAGCAGTGGATTATGCTGTTCTCAGGGGTCACCTCAGCTTTGGAAGCATTCTTTCAAATTAAACCATCTCAGGCCATCTGCAGAGAAGAAAGGTGGTACCTAATTTTTTTTCTTGTCAGCACTTGGTAGGGGTGTTTTATTGACCAAATATTTTCCCACAACCTAGTTTTTTGTAACTAACTAAATATAGTAGATTTTTAAATTTTATCATCAAAATCTGTAGACAATTTTTTATTAAAATAGGCTCCACATCTATGTCCTGCTTTTCTTCTTATTAATTACATTGCTGTATAAAAGAACAAGACTCCAGAATCAAGAATATCTTGTCTCTAGGCATTGAATTTATACAAGGTGCTCTTTCTTTAATGCTGTCTCAAAGGACATATTTTTACTCATTAAAAAGGAAGATCGGAATCTAGTTGTATGCACTACTCCAACATATTAATAATTAAAATTAGGAGGTAAATGTGGTCAAAGCTATAGAAAGACTTGAGATGTCATTTATGTTGAATACTGTATAGCACTCTACAAACAGAAATTGTGAAATAATAGTTTATATAAATATTTTGTAGCATTTCAAATATTTGAGTGCCTGAAGTTTCTCCTCTTATATAGTTCAGATTATCAATTTGAAGACTTACTCCGCTGGTTAAAAAGTTTTTAGTCTCGTTTGAGTATTATATAAAAGCAATTTTCAGTTAAATGTGTTCCACTTACATAAAACATTACAAATTAGTGAGTATTTAATTACATTTTCGTGTTCCTGTAATGCCTTTAGAAGATTTTCATATTATTACCTATCAATATATGTATGCTTTGTCTAAGAAAAATCAATCATATACATCATTGAAATTGAAACTTTTTAAAAATGCTTATTAATTCTATTGAAAAACCACATCCATAGGAGCAATTACAATATAATATTGTGAACATGTAAATATATATCCTATGTCTATTTTATATATAAGCATATGTGATTAAAAATATAGTTAAGAATTTTTAAACGTAGTATTATAAAGTAAAAATTAGTTAAACTTCTGATGATTATTTGTTAATTAAGATAAAATTATTTTGACTTGGGTGATTTTAAATGAACAAAAATATTAAACTACATGACAAAAATTCTTTATAAAATGTTTACGATTTTTACATTGGTTTTATCACTTTATTCCACTATTTTATTTTAAGATGACCTGCCTTGTTTAAAACACTGTATTCATCTTAATTAAATTAAATTCCATTTGTAAAAAAGTTAACAAATGATTTGCTGTATTATACAGTGCGGTTATAAACTGAGTCAGTATCTCAAGATTTGATCCCCATTATCGTCATCCGTGGCCTTATTTGTTTGATAAATGTAGTGTCTTTTTCCATGCCTGTCACATCTCTATTGCTCATTTATTTTTCTCCTTGTCCCTTATAGGGAGCATTGCCTGTCTCTAGATTAAGCAAAAGTTGCATCTTAAAAAAGCACAATAAACTGCTCAATCTTTCTCACACAGAGAAATGTTTGTTAAGTAATTAAAGTGTAGATGATGATACAAAGAGCTTGATTAAATAAGATGCCAAAGTACCCTTGTGATTCAGAATATGAACGGTATTTTATGCCTTTGAAATCAATAATTGCTGAGTGACATTAATTAATGCCAATATTTCGGAAGTTGTTCTGGTTAGTCAAATGTGTACAACATGTAAAAGTTTCCGAACTCTGAAGGGCAACATTATTCTATAATTAAGAATTAAGAATTAATTCACATTAATTATTGGGGAGAAATAATTTTAATAATTAATGACTGAGAAAACGTTTTTATTTTTTATTTAGAAAATATTTTGTGCATGAGCATTACTGCAAGTTTTGCAAGAAACATAAATTTATAGAAACAATTATGTGCACAAGATGAATTTAATAACATCTTGATATTTTCCACTATTACAGTTGTATTTAGTAAATCTTTAAATGCCCATCATCTAAAGATCATAAATGAATCTTGGAAATCTTGTAGGTAAGGGTAAATATAAGGATGCATCCAATTACATTTACACACAGATACAATTACACTTACACAAACATACATGCACACACGCTCACTGATACAGGTATGCATATATATGCATGAATTTACTAATTCATTTTAGCTAATATTTATAAGAGCCTGTAGGATTGATATATATTGTTGAACCTGAAAAATATTTATTATATACATGGTTAAAATACACAAAGAAATAAACGGTAATTGCACTAGGCATTTGAAACTGTACTTAAATATAAGCTGTGAATATTTTGTGATCATTACAAATTCTTACACTGAATAAATATTTTTATTTTTATAATAATATGTTTGATACATGTGTACATTTTTAAAAATGTATTATTTTTGTCATAGAGTCATGTCATGTATAATCACATTTCAGTCAAAGATGGATTACATATACAAAATTGGTCCCATGAGATTATAATACATATTTTTACACACTTTTCTATGTTTAAGTATGTTTAGATACATAAACTCTTACCACTGTGTTCTTATTGCCTGCAGTATTCAGTATAGTAATGTATACACAGGTTTGTAGCCTAAGAGAGAGAGGTTATACCATATAACCTAAACGTGGTAGGCTGTACAAACTAGGTGTTTGTAATATTCTCTGTGATGTTTGCAAAATGATGAAACTGCCTATGGATGCATCTGATAGAACATATCCCTGTCATTGAGTGATGCGTGACTGTGCTAAAATTGCTAAATCTAAGTTTCAATGACCTCCATAAAATTGTTGTACTGTGAAATACAAATCTCTCACCTACAGCCTGAATATGTTTGCAAACTAAGCAGATCACGGGAAAGAGAATGTGCTGGCATCACTGGGATGATTTTCTCACACTACATGAATAATGTCTCCAGACTTTGCGAATATGAGCCACTTGCATAGAGTTAAAGTAAGCATCTCTTTGCTGGGAAATTTATCAAATGGGAGTGTGAAGTGTTTTTAAAAGATACTGGTTTGTTTGTAGACGGTAGGCCTACAGGGGCTCATGGCAATGGTTGAGGTTGCTAAGATTTGGTGGAAGGAGGCAAAATGAAATGGCCACTTATATGGTAGATGGATCACTTGTTTCTGTTGAGTTACAGATTCAGCTGGCTATTTCTCCCAATGTTAGTTATTTGGAGAAAAAAACATGATGGTAATTTTGGGATAATAAATACAATATTTGATGAAAGCAAATTTATTGAGGGTTAGACAAACTACAAGATAATTAGGCTGCAAAGTCAACATGAGACTTCTGGCCCAAATTGTGCAGAGTTTGGGTCCAGCTGCAAAGTTCAAAGGAAGAGTCCATATAAGATGATTCGCACTTTTGTCACCAACTGCCAGTTCAGGGGTTTCCCCAGAACACCTTCAGTTTCAAGAATTTACTAAAAAGACTCACAGAACTCATTGAATGCCATTGTACTCATGGTTTATAATAGAGAAAGGGTAGAAATTAGGACCAATCAAAGGAAGAGACATATCACATAAGTTGGAATCTAGGAGGATTTTGAATGTTAAGTTTCCATTGTCTTCAGGACATATTACCTGTCATTGTTGTACAGCAATAAACATGGAGTACTACCAACCTGGGGAGCTCACCTGATGCTAAAAAGACACTATTTCGAAAATGAAAAGACAAATGAAAGGATGAGATAAGATAACCTTCCACATTAAGGCACTGGAAAGAATAGCAAACTAAACCTAAAGCAAGCAGAAGGAAGAAAATAAAAATTAGAGAAATTAATAATGTATAATATTAATCATATTTGTTAGTATTGACTAATTGATATTAATTCTTGACTGACTTTTTTTTAAAAGAGAAATATTCACTTCCCAATTTATTCTGTGGGGCCAGTGTTACCTTGATACAAAAATTAGTCCAAATAGCATAGAAAAATAAAACTACTATAAGTATAAATGCAAAATTCCTTAAAAACTACTAACAAATCAGATCTAGCAACATATAAAAGAATTATACACTATGACAAAGTGAAATTTATACTAGTAATCTCAGGTTGGTTTAACACCCCAAAATCCATTAAGGTAATACATCTTATCCATAGAATAAGAAACAAGAATTGCATGATCATGTCGATAGATTCAGAAAAGACATTTAACAAAATCCAAATGCTTTAATGATTAAAAATAAAAATAAAAACTCAATGAACCAGGAATAGAGAACTTTCTACACCAGATACATGGCACCTGTGAAAAGCCAAGAGCAAATATTCAACTTAGTGGTGAAAGAAAGGATACTTTCCCGCTATGGTCAGAGATAAGAATAAGATACATATTTTGACCTCTTCTAGTCAACGCTGTACTGAAGATTTTATGCAGGGCAAATGGGCAAGTAAAGAAATAAGAGTCACCCATACTGAACAGGAAGAAAAAACTTTATTTGCAAATAACATTCTTGTATATAGAAAATTTTAAGGAATCCACTGAATGACAGAACTAGTAAATTATTTCAGCAATATTACTGCATACAAGATAAATATACAAAAATCAATTGCACACATCTACAATGAAAACCCCAAAATGAAATTAAGAAAACACTTCAATTTCAATAGCATCAAAAAAAGAAATAATAATTAATTTGGAAAATGTGATACAAGATTTTACTCTGAAAATTAAAAATTATTGTTTAAAGAAGATCTAAATAATTAGCAAACATCTTACACCCATGAATTGGAAGATTTAATATTGTAGTACTTTACAAGTTGAACTACAGATATGACGTAATCCCTGCAAGTATCCCAATAGACTTCTGTCTAGAAACTGACAAGCTAATTCTAAAATACACATGGGATTGTAAGGGACTCAAAATAGCTAAAATAGTCTTGAAAAAAGAAAACATATTAGGATAATTCACACCCCCATGCTCCAAACCTTACGGGAAAGCATCAGTAATCAAGACAACACAATACTGATGAAGGAAAAATATATAGATTGATGGAAGAGAATTGAGAGTCCATATATAAAACTATGTATCTATAGTCAATGGATTCTTACAGTGATGCCATGTGCAATTCAATGAGGAAGAGACAGTCTTTGAAGAAACTGGGTCAACATCGTACACTTGGATCGCCACTTGCAAAATAATAAATTGGAACACTTACCCCAAAGCATACAAAAATATTAACTCAAATGAATTAAAGACATACATGCAACAGCTAGAATAAAGCATATGGGAAAATCTTCAGGATTTTGGATCTAGCAAAGAAATAGCTGTAACACCAAAAACATGAGCAACAAAATAAAAATTAGATATTTAAAATTTCTTAAAAATTAAAGACATTTGTGTTTCAAAGGACAACCAAGCAAGTCAAAAGGCAGCTCAAAAATTGTGAGAAAATATTTGAAAAACACATATCTATATGTCTGCATATATATGTATCTTGAATATAGAAAAATTGTTTTAACTCAGTAACAAAAATCCCAACTCAAAACTGATAAATGATAGGAATAGATGTGTATCCCAAGAAGATATACGAACGGTCAATAATCCCATAAAAAGATACTCAGCAGCATCACTCATCAAGCAACTACAAATCAAAACCACAGTTAGATACTCTATGGCTTGAACTGGCCACTTTGGAAAATAGGTTGATGGCTTCTAAATATATTAAACATAGAATTGTCATATGACCCAGAAATTTATTCCCAGGTATACACCCAGAGTATTGGAAAGAGGTGTTCAAACACAAATTGTACACGAGTATTTTTAGCAACAGTATTTAAAATAGCCAAAGGCTGAACACAACTCAAATGTCAATAAAAATATTATTGGATAAACAAAATGTTATATCCATGAAATTGAATGTTATACAGTTATAAAAAGAAATAAAGTACCAATACGCATATGAACCTTGATAGCATTATGCCAACTGAAAGAAGCCAGGCACAAAAGGCCACCTATTGTATGATTCTATTTAGATGAAAATAGAATAGGAAAATCTACAGAGACAGAAAACAGATTTGTGGTTGCTTAGGATTGAGTAGGGGATGAGTGCATAAGAGGTTAACAGCTAGAGAAGGTGGGGTTTCTTTTTGAAGTGATGAAAATGCTCTAAAATTCATTGTGATGATGGCTCCACTTATCTGTGCATATACTAAAAGCCATTGACTTGTAGACATTAATGTGTGCACTGTACAGTATGTAAATTATATCTCAATAAATCCTTTCAAAAATACACAGAAGACTAAGGGGTTTTGGAATGTTTCAGCTGGGAGGCAGTTTGAAATACTGAATAGGTCTCATCGAGAATGTGAGGTTTCAGTAAAGACTTGAGGAAGTTGAATGAGCTGATCAATGGATATATGGAGGGCTATCTTTCAAAGCCAAGAAATTAACTAGAGTCTTGGTCATAAGACAGCAGCATGTTGGCATGTCCAGAGGACAGTGAGGTGGACAGGACCACTGGTAAGAACAAGGGTGAAGACATAAAAGAATTTTGGCGGTTAACATGCGGCAGATCATGATGGGCTTGCAGACCATTGTACGAATTGTGTCTTTTAGTGTAAATGAAATGGGGAGATAAATCATTACCCCATTATCAATATTTTAATAAATTGGATCCATGAACCAAATACAATGAGATTAAATCAATTAGTAATATGCAAATTTGTATTAAAATTACAAGAATTACTTGCACATTTGAGAAGAGGAGAGTCATGATTGTTTATCAGCAATAATAAACTATTAATTTTAATTGTCATCAGCTAATTGAGATTAATTGCAATACATCATGCTTTATAATGTGACTGTCAAAAGGAAAATATGATTGTAATCTTATACTACATCTATCAATGTCTTTGATAGCCCCTAGTTTTCAAAGCCAACTGATGAGGCAGTGACATCTTATGCAAGTTTGCTGCTTTCTGCCACAGTGGTCCTTGGTCAGCTGGCACAAATTGTTTTACAAACACCACTAGGTCTAAAAAAAGTTTGGATCACAATGAACACAGAAACACCTTCATCCCTTCAGAAATACCTACCAATTACTTCCAATACAGAATGAAAAATTGACAACGGAACTATTTTGATTGTAAAAATGCCAGAGAGCTTGCATCTACATGAAAGAAAAATGCCATTTTTATTACAATAGATCATTGTTTTACATGAGTTTTGGTATAGCACAATGTTGAACCAAGGGCAAAGAAAGATGAATTAATGAAGTCTTAAGATATCAAGAATTTGAAAGAAAAGGCAGGTCATCTTTGAAGGTTAGTGACATAGCATTCATCTTCTGTTGTCATCTTTTCCGTCATTCCTTGTATGCCTGATGGACAGCTTTCTCTCAGGTTCAGAGAACAGTGTGCAAAGATTAGCTACCAACTAATTTTTATGAAGTGAGCTTAATTTCTAGCCAGACTGAGCTTACGTTTTAGCAGGAAGAATTTTTGGGAAATGTTTGTTAGAGTTTGCCCTTCTTGACAAGGTGAGACATAAATGTCTACTTTATAGACATGAATTAAGATGGGAAGATATTTGGGGGAAACATTTTCTCAAATGTTAAATAACAAAGGTACACAAAGGGGAAATTATACTAGATTTATTTCCCACTTGTTTTCTATGTCTCATGCAATTCACCTTGATTCCCTTCAGTTTCTGTTTAATGTAGAAAGTGGCATTTTCATTATTTTAAGCTTCTACCACAGTGAAAGAATTTCTCTTTTTCATGAACTGCATCATAAATGAAAGGGAGGAAGAGTGTCCAATATCATATTTATTGTTCAACAAAACACTGCTCCACGGCTTAAATTCAGTTTAAAAAAGAGAATTTATTGAACATCTAACACATACATAAAAGGCAGTAAAGACAAATGAGAAGAGGGCAGGATATTGAAGTATACAGACTTTAATGCTGAGTTTTGTATCTTAGTAAGTTACTGCACCTTACAGAGACTCAATTTCCCCTGATTTAGGAAGGCGATGCTAATGGGTATTGCATAGGTGTAAGTATAAAAATGTTGTATTTAAGAGAATCCCACAAGCTTGGTATAAGGCAGAAAATAAATAGATGTGACATGAATGAGTACTTTATTACATTTGTATGCTACCTGCAGACTAGAGGAAGAAAGAAACGCAGCCACTATACTTGATTAGCATTATATTCTAATTTGGAATGTAAAGAGAAAAGAGAAAAATAGAAAGCTATGCATAAACACATGCATTAAAATGAATTTTATGTGGACTCTTTCAGGAAAATGTTCCTAAGGTATTTTATTTTTTTATTGTGGTAAGATACATAAAACATAAAATGTACTCTGTTAAACATTTTAAGTGTACAGTTCAGTGGTACTAAATATAGTCATAACATTGTGCAGCCATCCCTACCATCCATCTCCATAATTCGTTTCATCTTGTAAAACTGAAACTATACCCATTAAACAATACTTCCCCATTTCTTCCTCCCCCCAGCTTCTGGCAACCATCATTGTACTATCTCTATGATTCTGTCCACTTCAAGTCCCTTATACATATGGAATTATACTGTATTTGTCCTTCACTGACTAACTTATTTCACTTGGCATAATATCCTCAAGTTTCATCCAAGTTGCAACATATGTCAGAATATTTCCCTCGTTTAAGGCTGAATAATTTTCCATTGTATGTATATATCATGTTTTGCTCATCCATTCATCTGTTGTTGGACAGTTCAATTGCTTCTACGTTTTAGCTATTGCCAATAATGCTGCTGCAAACATGGATGTGCAAATATTTTTTCAAGACTCTGCTTTCAATTCTTTTGCTGTCTTGGGATGTGGGTCTGCTGAATCATAAGGCAATACCATTTTGATGTTTTGAGGAACTACCATACTCTTTTCCACAGCAAACATAGGGTTTGGCATTCCCTCCAATATTGCAAAAGGAATCGCCACATCCTTGCCTGTGGATTTCATTCACAAGTCCTGTGGCTCTCTCTACATCCCAGCCACCATGTGTTATTTCCTGTTTATGTATATGACATCAAAGGTGCAGGAAGTAATGAACTAAATTGGAAGGATAAACATGTAGAAAAATAGAGGTAAATACTGACTACATAAAACCATAAGAATAAGAATTTTGGATGATCTATTATATATCTATTTATCTAACATCTATTTGTTCCTCCATCTGTAATGAAAATATTTTACAGTTAGAGAACAGAGAAAAAAGTAGGAATACATGAATTTAAATTTTAATTCTTCTCAGATTGTCTCACAGCATCATTATATGACAGAAAATTTATAGGTCAGTATCTGTTAACTATAAATGTAACATTCTTAAAGTATTCAAATACGTTGAATTACAGCATGAATAATATATTACGACCCATTCGAGTTTATTTTATTCCAGGAACACAAAAATACAAATTTCATTTGCAATTCAAGAAAAACAGAAATCGATACATATGATTGATGTATATACACATTTAATGTATTTTTAAATATACATTTTTAAAAGATAGAAATTTTTCTAGGACAACTACTTAAAATATCACTGAAAATAGTGTTATTAGATAATACCTTCCTAATAACTCTGGTATTACATAAGAAAAGAAAATTAAAATTTCAGATAAGCTTAGAAACTAAAAATTTTAAAAATATTATTCTGTTCTCCATATGTTCATATTTAATATTATTTCTTGTTTTCTTTCTTCTTCAGTGTTGCTCTACTAAAATACAGCATACAATAGTTACTTTTGATTTCTGTTCTTATTACTCAAAATTGTATACTTTTTCTCATGCTCTAAATGTAGTTATGATACTTTTCTTCACTCTTGGAATTTTCACATTTGTGTTCACTCTCTTTTGAGTTCCCATAGTATCAAATAAGCTTTTTTCCCTCTTTCTGATTTGAAGGTTCATCTTCTCATAATTATTTTGTCCACTCAGTTTCTTTTCATTCTTAGTTAAGTGCCTCTCATCTGGCTTCTTTTCATCTGTAAGGTTTCCTTTCGTCTTAAGGCAGTCTTTTATTTATATTTTGATTCTGTTTTGTGGAGGACATGCTTCCCTGAATTTTAAGGAAGAGGCCAAAAGGTTTGTTCAAGTTTTTACCTGATACATTGGATTAAATTATCTAATGTGCACACTTTTAATTTAAGTCTAGGGGCAACTGTCTACTCTCGATTTTGTATAGTATTATTTTTCTTAACATCCAAGTCCATCTTCATCTATTTGTATATGATCAATAAAAAAATATTTGTCCAGAACCCTGCTTTGGTGGAGTTACTTCTTTCTAAGTAGGAGAGGTAGCAGTTGAGACATGATCTGGGTTCTGGGTCAGTTTAGAGGGCTGGGCGACATTCCTCCTTTTGGTCTGTATGACTGAATGAATGCGGTTCTTGCTGTCTCGCTCCTCTCCTTAACACATTGAGCCATTGCAGCAGATGAGAAGGAATAATCCTGATCTGCCATTGAGGTGGAACACATGTTCTCTCCAACCACATCCATAGGTTGTACTCACACTCGGCCAGAATGTATCCTGTCAATGATATGGAGATGTATCTAGCTATCTAGATAGATATCTACTTTGGTTTATGCTCTCTGGTTGCCCGTAAATTATCTCCTTAAAGTGAATATCAAAAGAGAGCTTGGTGATGGCAGTGTTATAAAATCCTTAAAATGCAGCACCCACACCCAGAGGAATTTGTAGATTCTGGGATTCTAATTCAGATACCAAACTATATAAAAGGGGAATTGGTCATTGAGGGTTGCTAGGCTCTTTGTGGAGCATATTTGCTCTTTTCATGACTTTGAAATTATCTTAAAAATCTAACCTTTTTCTCAGTGTGCTGCAAGATGATTTGATTTGAATGCATAAGCACTAATTCTCCCCTAAGATTTGTACAATATATTTGCTCTGACAAGCCATAGCCAGCAACTCACTTCACAGCAATTTATAGCATTTCCACGATAAGTTGAATTATTTTTAACTAGACTCTCTTTGCCTTAATAAAAATATGAAGAAGCAATATACTTGTTCTAGTTAGGTTCAAAAGTTGGCAGTCTCTCTCCTGGAAAGACTAATAAAACTTTTCAGCGGCCTAATATGCATCTATAGACACACACACACACACACACACACACACGCAAGCACTATTCATAATATTTAAAGCACATTCTGTTCTATGACTTCATTTGTCTAGCACAAAATAAAACGATCTCAGTATATGTCAAGTACCAATTTTTTCATATGGCCAATTATAGATATTTTATTTTTTAAAGATTAGAGTGTTCTTGAAGCTCTTTATATTTCTTTGTCAATGAACTAAACATTGGCAAATATGTAGGGTTGTCCACATAAGAACATTATTAACATCCAAATAGAAAGCTGGTGGTAGAAATAATGATTGGGAACACAGAGTCTCTACTCAGCGTTCTACTTCTGCCATACCATAAATTTGTGATCTCACGAAATATCTCTCCATGTTGTCATCCCTATGTATAGTTCTGTCATTTTTCAATAAGAGCTTTTTGCTTAATTATGAAGTACTAGTTACTATAACCATTATTTTGAGCTTCATGTAAATCAAGAACACATGGACTCCACTTGCAAAACATTGAAAATGTAGTTAGGGATTGGGGGCATAAAGCAACATTTTAAAATGTGTAAAGACAATGAGTAAGCAACAAAGTGTCCAGTTTTTTAGGGGAAAGTTGCATACGTTAGGAAAAGGCAGGATTAAGTAACAGAGAATTTGAATGATAACTGGCCAATTGGTGTCATTTACAGTTGCAAGTCATACAAATGAAGTTTGCTTTTTTAAAGAGAAAAGGAGTTAGTTAGAATGGGTCAACCTACTGGGGAAGCAATGTAGTTAGAGACAATGTTCAAAACCATGTGAGCAAATGCTCTGTAGAGCGCACCCCTGCAATGCTGCCATTGTGAGGCCAAGTCTCTCCTTGTCTTCGTACTGAGCACTCCATTCTGCCTCCATCATTGCCACTGTAGCTGCCACAAAATGATCCCTCAACCACCGCTGCCCAGGAACAAAGAAAGAATTCTGTCCTTCCGCGCTCTCAGATCAATTTCCAACATCAGGTGAGACTTTGATGGTCACTATTCAGTTCTCATATCCCTGAAATAGATGCAGTAAAAACATAGAAATTGCCTATGTGTTTCCCAATAAGACACATATGGAAGCCTGTTTTCCCACAACAGGAAGGGGTTTCCACAATGGGTGTTCAAAGGAACAATATTCCCTGTAAACCATACTTTGCCCATATGAAGAAAAGCAATAAGGATTATTTAGTAAATAGACATGGAAACTCATCCAGGGTTGGCTGATGAGAAGCTGGTTAGCAAGGGGGTCTGCCTTCAGTTAGGACAAGGTCTGTGCTTCCCACGGGTTCTCTCCACAGCAGGAGGGATGCAAACTTCCCTTTCCTCCCCTGCACCTACCCTCAAATGGCCCAGAGGTCTTCAGGTGCTAGAATTTCTCAATTAATGCTGCACAAAATAACAGGCAGCCTTGACTGTCACAGTCTGTTCTCATGAAGCTAGTCTCTGCTCACTACATAAAACAGGAGAGTAAGAACAAGGGTGTTTAACGCTACCCTAGCTCAAACAAGTTTCTTTCTGTAGGATGCCAAGAACCTGGGAACCAGTGCATCTGCTGCTTTCCCTTCTCGGATTCTAGCCCAGACAAAAGAGGCAAGGGGCATTTCTTCAGAGGTCTTGAGCTTCACTACACAATGCCCCAGGCTCTACATGCACCCTCTTTATATATTTCTACCTTGAAAAAAATTTTTATATAATATTAATAATATATATTTTTATATAAGTAACACATATGTTTATTTTATAGATAGATATAGATATACATAGATAAAGATCTCTAGTCAGCCTTTTTTAAGGCTGGGCTGATCGCGGTGCCTCAAAACTATAATCCCAGCACTTTGGGAGGCCAAGGTGGCCAGATCTCTTGAGTCCAGGAGTTGGAGATCAGCCAGGGCAACATGGTGAAACCCCATCTTTACAAAAATTAGCTAGTATGGTGTCATGCACTTGCAGTCCCTGCTACTCAGGAGACTGAGGTGGGAGAATCGCTTGAGCACAGTATGTGAAGGCTTCAGTGAGCTCTGATCACATGACTGCACTCCATCTTGGGTGACAAAGTGAGACCCTCTCTCAAAATAAAATAAAAAGGCTACCACCATACTCACAGATAAGTGTGTCAGGTATATTTGCAGCTATCTTTCCTATATTCTATTTGGTAAAAAAAAAAAAAATTGCAAAGAACTCGTCTCATTCTAGATTTTTGTATTAATTAGATATTTGAAGTTTATAGCAGAAGAGCTATAATCATGTTTGGTATGTGTACTCTATAGACCAGATAGTGCCAACAGATATCAATGCTTTTTAAAAGTATATAAGGTTATTACAAATATTTTAAACTACCTATAGGTATATATCTATCTAATTGAACTATCAAATGCAAGTAAGATCATTTCCTTAGCGTGTGAAATCCACTCAATTTATTAAAATATTTTCTAATGTCTATTACAATAATGTTTCTTAATTAGCTAACATAAGAGGAGTTTTAAGACATTTATTTATATGTACTTACTAGATTCAAACTCGATTCCACTATTTTCAGAAATCATGCTCCGAGACAAGTCCTTTTTTTATCTATGTTTCTGCCTATATTAAAAGACAGATATGTCAATTTTGCTAGTCATGCTGTTCCAAACGTCTCCATCCTATTTTTCGGTTTGTTCTACTAGTCATTCGGAGACTTACTTATATTCAAATTTCTCTCTAGGTTTAACATTTGTGTATGTCTTCTTGTGGTTTTGTCTATTTTTGCTGTATATAATTTAAGACATTTATTGACATATCATACATGCAGAAAAGTACAATGATTAAATATGGATAGCTTCATTAATGAAACACATGTATTTGCTTATAACCATGTATGAAAATAGAATATTACTAAAAATAGTGATACTTCTCCTGCCCCTTTCCAAACACTAACCCTCATCCTCAATAGCAACAGATTTTTTTTATCAGAGTAATTTGGTCTATTTTCAAATTTTTATTAAATAAATCAGAGTATCTACTCTAAGTCTATGTTTCTTTCATTGTTGTTATTTTGCTTATAGTATTTATCTGCTAATGGACATGGTAGATTAAAGACGGCTACATACACATTTTTTAATTAATAGATTTTTTGAGCACTTTGTGGCTCATGCCTCTAATCCCATCACTTTGGGAGGCTGAGGTGCGTGGATCATGAGGTCAGGAGATCGAGACCATCCTGGCCAACGTGGTAAAACCCCTTCTCTACTAAAATACAAAAAATTAGCTGATAGATAACATCAAGATAACATCTGGGTTCTTAGCTGCACTGAGTCAAGCCTACTTACATCTTTGTTTGTCTTCCTCTGCACTTTTCCTTCCACATCACACTTCAGGAATGCCAAGCTGTGCTGGCCTTCTACCCCATTTCCACTGTTTTGCACCCGCAGACGCGGCTTTTTGCCGCCATGGATTTTTGCCCCCGCCACTGCGGGTTTTTGCGACTTTTTGCCCCCGCCGCCGTTGCTTTCTGCCCCCGCCACCGCGGCTTTCTGCCCCTGCCACCGCGGCTTTCTGCCCCCGGCCTCGCGGAATTTAGCCCCTGCCGCCGTGGCTTTTTGGGGCTCTTTGCCCTCGCCGCCGCGGCTTTTTGCTGCCGCGGCTTTTTGCGTCTTTCTCCCCCCGCCGCGGCGGCTTTTTTCCCCCTGCTGCCGCAGCTTTTTGCCCCCGCCACCGCGACTTTTTCCGCCGCGGCTTTTTATGGCTTTTGGCCCCCGGCGCCGCGGCTTTTTGCGGCTTTTTGCCGCCGCGGGTTTTTCCTGCCGCGGCTTCTTGCCCCCACCGCCCGGGCTTTTTGCGCCGCGGCTTTTTGCTGCTATTTGTCCCTGCCACCGCGGCGTTTTGCCCCCGCAGCCGCGGCTCCTTGCCCCCTACGCGGCTTCCTGCCTCCGCCACCGTGGCTTTTTATCACCCCAGCCGCTTTTTGAACCCCCCGCCGCGGGTTTTTGCCGCCGCGGCTTCTTGCCCCCCTCGCCGCGGCTTTTTACCCCCACAGCGGCGGCTTTCTGCCCCTGCCTCTGAGGGTTTTTGCGGCTTTATGTCCCCGCTGTCGTGGCTTTTTGCCGCCGCGGCTTTTGGCCCCCTCCGCCGCGGCTTTTTGCGGCTTTTGGCACCCAACGCCGCGGCTTTTTGGGGCTTTTGGTCCCCGCCACCGGGGCTTTTTTCCCCCACCGCCGCAGGTTTTTCCCGCCCCTGCTTTTTGCCCCCGCCACCGCGGCTTCTTACCCCCGCCACCGCGACTTTTTGCCCCCGCCGTCGCGGCTTTTTGCCCCCGACGCTGCGGCTTTTTACGGCTTTTTGCCTCCGCCGCCGCGGCTTTTGCCCCCGCCACCGCGGCTTGTTGCCCCCATCACCGCGGCTTTTTGCCCCCACCGCCGCGGGTCTGAGGGCGGGATCGGCAGACTCGGCTGCCAGCTCTACCGGCGTCCTGGCTAAGGCAGCGCCGAGGGGCGCTCCTTGTCCAGCTCTCCTGGTTCGGGCGTTCCTTGCCTAGACGCTGGCGCCCCGGGCTCTGCTCCTGGGCCGCTGCAGCCTGCATAGAGCAGCGCTGCGCTCGGCCGCGTTGGGAGAGAAGAAGGAGGGCGGTGGCGGGGGTGACGCGGCTATCGCGGAGGGAGGTGCAGGGGCCGCGGCCAGCCGGACACTGCAGCAGTGCGGGCAGCTCCAGAAGCTCATCGGCATCTCCGTTGGCAGCCTGCGCGGGCTGCGCACCAAGTGCGCTGTGTCCAAGGACCTCACCCAGCAGGAGATACGGACCGTGGAGGTAAGGGGGTCGGGGACCAGGGCTGGGCTCCAGCACCGGAATGGACACCTCCCTCTGGGCCCCAGTTCACTCCTGGCCGAGTTGCATCCTTGAGCCCACATCACCCCCTTGGAGGCTTCTCCTCCCTCCTGCACTCGCTGATGCGGCAGCCAGAGGACCCGGGACCAGCCCTCACCTTGGGCAGGATTTGTGGGGCGGGTGCGTGTTGGGAACTGTGATGGAGGCTCGAGGGTCCCGTGGGCGGGGTGGGCTGCGCGCGGACATCCCCTTACCCCCCGATTTTCCATCTGGTGCAGCCCTCTCATCTTGTAGGTGAGGAAACCGAAGGCCTGAGGGAGAAATGACTTGCCAGGAACCCCTGTTAAGGAGAATTAACAAAGAGTGGTTATTAAAGGAGCACTGAGTCAGACCTGGAGGCCCACTCGCTTGGTTAAGACATTATACCACCTTGAGTCTGGCCTGTTGACTGAGGGTGAGCCACTCCATCCTCGTCTGATTGTGGGGTCTTGACCTCAAGGGGTTTCGTGCAGGAAGAAGCAAATGGGTTTGCCTCTCTAGCTCTGTCCAGTACCTTAGGGACCCTGAGAACTGGAGAGATTCTTGGAGAGCTATCTGGTGTATGTCATGGGTGGGCCTTGTTTGAAGGTCAGTCTGCCCAGTGGGCTGGCTCAGCCCAAATGAACTCTCTTGAATCTTTGGAGTTGTCTGTGTACTTTTAAGGGTTTCTCATCCTTGCACCAAAAGATCCCCTGGAAATCAGGTGGGAAAACCTTAACTTTTGTGGAGCCTTGTATTTGTCTTAAAAGTTCATGCACGTGGCCAGGTGTGGTGGCTCACGCCTGTTATCCTGTCCTGGATCCCTTGAGTCAAGGAGTTTGAGACCAAACTGGACAATATAGTGAGACCCCATCTCTACAAAAAATAAAATATTAGCCAGGAGTGGTTGTGCGCATCTGTAGTCCTAGCTACTACTGTGGCTGAGGTGGGAGGAGCACTTGAGCCTGCACTGAGCTGTGATCTCACCAGTGTATTCCAGCCTGGGCCAAAGAGCAACACCTTGACTGAAAAAAAAAAAAAAAAACCAACAAGAAAAATTCTTGAAGATTTTGCATTCTGTCTCACTATCCATTGGTTTTCATGTCAAGATAATGTCAGAAATTCTTTACAATTGCTTCCAGAAGGAGTAGCCTTTTGATCTAGTGCACAGGTGTCCAGTCTTTTGGCTTCTCAGGGCCACATTGGAAGAAGAATGCTCCTGGGCCACAGATAAAATACACTACTGCTAATGATAGCTGATGAGCTTAAAAAAAAAAAAGGTTTCTGCATAATTTTCATGATACCCACCACCACAGATAGGCTGGAAAGTCCTTGTAGTCAAAGGGTTGGACACGGCTGATCTAGTGTCTTTTCGTCCGTTTTGGCTTCCTCCCTGACTCCAGAATGCAGGTAGAGATGTAGAGACGTGCTCTCAGGACAGCTGTTGAGATAAAAAAAATTCGTTGTCATTTATTCCCAAGGAAAGCTGTTTGTCATTTGCATTGAAAAAGTCTCCATTCAAACGCTGTGACATATAAAATCTATTTATATGTCTGTATGTTTCTGTTGTCTTGGCTTTTGTGGGCAGTAGTGTGTTTTAACCGAGCAAACTCTCCTTCCAAATAATGAAGCCGAAGTCAGCCTACCTGCTTGCCATCTTTCTTCCCCTTCCATTTTTCTAACCCCAGGATAATTGTAAGAATGAATTAAGATTTGTGTTTAAGGCCGGGCACAGTGTCTCAGGCCTGTAATCTCAGCACTTTGGGAGGCAGAGACGGATGTATCGCTTGAGCTCAGGAGTTGAAGACCAGCCTGGGCAACATACTGAGACTCCGTCTTATATAATTAAATTAAAATTTAAAAAAAGGAGAGAAAAGGACCTGTGTTTAAAATTTAAAAAAAGAGAAAATGTAATGCAACATGTGGACTATGGTAGCTATGATTAGGAAAAATAATTTTTCATACAGCATTATCTGTTGACTTGTATTAGCAGCATACTGGTCACAAGCGTTTTGCTTTCATCAAATATGATGAGGTAAGCTACTTTAAAGTGTGGTGGGGCTTTCTTCTGCATGGCTCCTGGAGGTGTTGAGTCCCAGTTTAGCCAATTAATTTGGGTTTAGTTTTGATATGGATAAGGGACACCAGCTTCATTCATGATGCACACACAGTTTTGCCAGTAAGGGAAAAAAAAAGCAACCTGAATGTTCCTACTCATTAGATGCTATCTGGAGAGCTCCTACACCAATGCCACAGAGGCCCAGGCCCTTAAAAAGACTCAATGCAGCCTTTCTGTATCTCATACTGTATTCTACAAGATACTCCTGTGAAAGAATGTTGTGCTGCATCAGCCATCTCCCTCCTGAAGATCCCTGCGGATGAGGATTTGTGTTTTAAAGGTTCTCAGAAGTCCTGCAACAAGAGTTCTCAAACTTATTTGTCCAGGGGATCTTTTCTTCCACTGAACATAGTTGGGGAGACACAGCCTTAAGCCTTGAGCAGAGAAAGAGACAAGAAACTGTTGGCTCACATACAACCAAGTGTTGTGTTTATGTTTTAGGTTTTTATGAAACTGAGGTGCTGTTTGAGGTTCTGAATCAAACTGGGTGGTTGAAGAGAGGCTGGTATCCCTGCAGACTTAGCCAGCGATGAGAGGTTGACTTTTGTTGAAGGAGGTGTTTTACAAAGGGAAATAGGGTGTCTCCTGGGCATCACATTAGCACTTAAATACATGTATCACTGAAATGAAATGAAATGATGAAATGATGACATGAAATGAAATGATGAAATGATGAAACGAAATGATGAAATGAAGAAATGAAATGAAATGATAAAATGATGAAATGAAATGATGAGATGAAATGGTGAAATGAAACGATGAAATGATGAAATGATGAAATGGAATGATGAAATGAAATGATGAAATGAAATGGTGAAATGAAATGAAATGAAATGAAATGCTGAAATGAAATGATGAAGTGAAATGGTGAAATGAAATGAAATGATGAAATGAAATGAAAAGATGAAATGATGAAATGAAGAAATGGTGTGAAATGATGAAATGAAATGATGAAATGAAGTGAAATGATTAAATGATGAAATAATGAAATGAGGGGTGGAGCCAAGATGGCTGAATAGGAACAGCTCTGGTCTACAGCTCCCAGCATGAGCGACACAGAAGATGGGTGATTTCTGCATTTCCATCTGAGGTACTGGGTTCATCTCACTAAGGGAGTGAAAAACAGTGGGTGCAGCGCACTGTGTGGGAGCCGAAGCAGGGCGAGGCATTGCCTCGGGAAGCACAAGGGGTCAGGGAGTTCCCTTTCCTAGTCAAAGAAAGGGGTGACAGATGACACCTGGAAAATAGGGTCACTCTCACCCTAATACTGTACTTTTCCAACAGGCTTGGAAAACGGCACACCAGGAGATTGTGTCCCGCACCTGGCTCAGAGGGTCTTATGCCAATGGAGTCTTGCTGATTGCTAGGACAGCACTCTGAGATTAAACTGCAAGGCGGCAGTGAGGCTGGGGGAGTGGGGCCCGCCATTGCCCAGGCTTTCTTAGGTAAACAAAGCAGCCAGGCAGCTGGAACTGGGTGGAGCCCACAACAGCTCCAGGAGGCCTGCCTGCCTCTGTAGGCTCCACCTCTGGGGGCAGGGCACAGACACACAAAAAGTCAGCAGTAACCTCTGCAGACTTAAATGTCCCTGTCTGACAACTTTGAAGAGAGTAGTGGTTCTCCCAGCACGCAACTGGAGATCTGAGAATGGGCAGACTGCCTCCTACAGTGGGTCACTGAACCCCGAGCAGCCTAACTGGGAGGCACCCTCCAGTAGGGACAGACAGACACCTCACTCGGCCGGGTAGTCCTCTGAGACCAAACTTCCAGAGGAATGATCAGACAGCTGAATTTGTGGTTCACGAAAATCCGCTGTTCTGCAGCCACCGCTGCTGATACCCAGGCAAACAGGATCTGGCATGGACCTCTAGCAAACTCCAACAGACCTGCAGCTGAGGGTCGTGTCTGTTAGAAGGAAAACTGACAAACAGAAAGGACACCCACACCAAAAACCCATCTGTACATCACCATCGTCAAAGACCAAAAGTTGATAAAACCACAAAGATGGGGAGAAAACAGAAAAACTGGAAACCCTAAAAAGCAGAGTGCCTCTCCTTCTCCAAAGGAATGCAGTTCCTCACCAGCAATGGAACAAAACTGGATAGAGAATAACTTTGACGATTTGAGAGAAGAAGGCTTCAGATGATCAAACTACTGCGAGCTACAGGAGGAAATTCAAACCAATAGCAAAGAAGTTAAAAACTTTGAAAAACTATTAGACGAATGTATAACTGGAATAACCAATGCAGAGAAATGCTTAAAGGATCTGATGGAGCTGAAAGCCAAGTTTCGAGAACTACGTGAAGAAGGCAGAAGCCTCAGGAGCCAATGCAATCAACTGGAAGAAAGGGTATCAGTGATGGAAGATGAAATGAATGAAATGAAGGGAGAAGGGAAGTTTAGAGAAAAAAGAATAAAAAGAAATGAACAAAGCCTGCAGGAATTATGGGACTATGTGAAAAGACCAAACCTATGTCTGATTGGTGTACCTGAAAGTGACGGGGAGAATGGAACTAAGTTGGAAAACACTCTGCAAGATATTATCCAGGAGGACTTCCCCAATCTAGCAAGGCAGGCCAACATTCAGATTCAGGAAATACAGAGAATGCCATAAAGATACTCCTCAAGAAGAGAAACTCCAAGACACATAATTGTCAAATTCACCAAAGCTGAAATGAAGGAAAAAATGTTAAGGGCGGCCAGAGAGAAAGGTCGGATTACCCACAAAGGGAAGCCCATCAGACTAACAGCTGATCTCTCAGCAGAAACTCTTCAAACCAGAAGAGAGTGGGGGCCAATATTCAACATTCTTAAAGAAAATAATTTTCAACCCAGAATTTCATATCCAGCCAAACTAACCTTCACAAGTGAAGGAGAAATAAAATCCTTTACAGACAAGCAAATGCTGAGAGATTTTATCACCACCAGGCCTGCCCAAAAAGAGCTCCTGAAGGAAGCACTAAATATGGAAAGGAACAACTGGTACCAGCCACTGCAAAAACATGCCAAATTGTAAAGACCATCGAGACTAGGAAGAAACTGCATCAACTAACGAGCAAAATAACCAGCTAACATCATAATGACAGGATCAAATTCACACATAACAATATTAACTTTAAATGTAAATGGGCTAAATGCTCCAACTAAAAGACACAGACTGGCAAATTGGATAAGGAGACAAGACCCATCAGTGTGCTGTATTCAGGAAACCCATCTCACATGCAGAGACACACATAGACTCAAAATAAAGGGATGGAGGAAGATCTACAAAGCAAATGGAAAACAAAAAAAGGCAGGGGTTGCAATCCTAGTCTCTGATAAAACAGACTTTAAACCAACAAAGATCAAAAGAGACAAAGAAGGCCATTACATAATGGTAAAGGGATCAATTCAACAAGAAGAGCTAATTATCCTAAATATATATGCACCCAATACAGGAGCACCCAGATTCATAAAGCAAGTCCTGAGTGACCTACAAAGAGACGTAGACTCCCCCACAATCATAATGGGAGATTTTAACAAGCCACTGTCAACATTAGACAGATCAACGAGACAGAAAGTTAGCAAGGACACCCAGGAATTGAACTCAGCTCTGCACCAAGCCCACCTAATAGACATCTACGGAACTCTCCACCCCAAATCAACAGAATATACATTTTTTTCAGCACCACACCACACCCATTCCAAACTTGATCACATAGTTGGAAGTAAAGCTCTCCTCAGCAAATGTAAAAGAATAGAAATTATAACAAACTGTCTCTGAGACCACAGTGCAATCAAACTAGAACTCAGAATTAAGAAACTCACTCAAAACTGCTCAACTATATGGAAAATGAACAACCTGCTCCGGAACGACCACTGGGTACATAACAAAATGAAGGCAGGAATAAAGATGTTATTTGAAACCAATGAGAACAAAGACAAAACATACCAGAATCTCTGGGACACACTCAAAGCAGTGTGTAGAGGGAAATTTATAGCACTAAATGCCCACAAGAGAAAGCAGGAAAGATCCAAAATTGACACCCTAACATCACAATTAAAAGAACTAGAAAAGCAAGAGCAAACACATTCAAAAGCTAGCAGAAGGCAAGAAATAACTAAAATCAGAGCAGAACTGAAGGAAATAGAGACACAAAAACCCTTCAAAAAATTAATAAATCCAGGAGCTGGTTTTTTGAAAAGATCAACAAAATTGATAGACCACTAGCAAGACTAATAAAGAAGAAAAGAGAGAAGAATCAAATAGACGCAACAAAAAATGATAAAGGGGATATCACCACCGATCCCACAGAAATACAATCTACCATCACAGAAAACTACAAACACCTCTACGCAAATAAACTAGAAAATCTAGAAGAAATGGATAAATTCCTCGACACATACACTCTCCCAAGACTAAACCAGGAAGAAGTTGAATCTCTGAATAGACCAATAACAGGCTCTAAAATTGTGGCAATAATCAATAGCTTACCAACCAAAAAGAGTCCAGGACCAGATGGATTCACAGCCGAATTCTACCAGAGGTACAAGGAGGAACTGGTACCATTCCTTCTGAAACTATTCCAATCAATAGAAAAAGAGGGATTCCTCTCTAACTAATTTTATGAGGCCAGCATCATCCTGATACCAAAGCCGGGCAGAGACACAACCAAAAAAGAGAATTTTAGACCAATATCCTTCATGAACATTGATGCAAAAATCCTCAATAAAATACTGGCAAACCAAATCCAGCAGCACATCAAAAAGCTTATCCACCATGATCAAGCGGGCTTCATCCATGGGATGCAAGGCTGGTTCAACATATGCAAATCAATAAACGTAATCCAGCATATAAACCTAACCAGAGACAAAAACCACATGATTATCTCAATAGATGAAGAAAAGGCCTTTGACAAAATTCAACAGCCTTTCATGCTAAAAATTTTCAATAAATTAGGTATTGATGGGATGTATCTCAAAATAATAAGAGCTATCTATGACAAACCCACAGCCAATATCATACTGAATGGGCAAAAACTGGAAGCATTCCTTTTGAAAGCTGGCACACGACAGGGATGTCCTCTGTCACCACTCGTGCTCAACATAGTGTTGGAAGTTCTGGCCAGGGCAATCAGGCAGGAGAAGGAAACAAAGGGTATTCAATTAGGAAAAGAGGAAGTCAATTTTTCCCCGTTTGCAGATGACATGATTGTATATCTAGAAAACCCCACTGTCTCAGTGCAAAATCTCCTTAAGCTGATCAGCAACTTCAGCAAAGTCTCAGGATACAAAATCAATGTACAAAAATCACAGGCATTCTTGTACACCAATAAGAGAAAAACAGAGTGCCCAATCATGAGGGAACTCCCATTCACAATTGCTTCAAAGAGAATAAAATACCTAGGAACCCAACTTACAAGGGACATGACGAACATCTCCAAGGAGAACTACAAACCACTGCTCAATGAAATAAAAGAGGATACAAACAAAGGGAAGAACATTCCATGCTCATGGGTAGGAAGAATCAATATCGTGAAAAGGGCCATACTGCCCAAGGTAATTTATAGATTCAATGCCATCCCCATCAAGCTACCAATGACTTTCTTCACAGAATTGGAAAAAACGACTTTAAAGTACATATGGAACCAAAAAAGAGCCCACATCGCCAAGTCAATCCTAAGCCAAAGGAACAAAGCTGGAGGCATCACGCTACCTGACTTCAAACTATACTACAAGGCTACAGTAACCAAAACAGCATGTTACTGGTACAAAAACACAGACATAGATCAATGGAACAGGACGGAGCCCTCAGAAATAATGCCGCATAACTACAACTGTCTGATCTTTGACAAACCTGAGAAAAACAAGAAATGGGGAAAGGATTCCCTATTTAATAAATGATGCTGGGAAAACTGGCTAGCCATATGTAGAAAGCTGAAACTGGATCCCTTCCAGTTGGATCAAAGACTTACATGTTAGACCTAAAACCATAAAAACCCTAGAAGAAAACCTAGGCAATACCGTTCACGACATAGGCGTGAGCAAGGACTTCATGTCTAAAACACCAAAAGCAATGGGAGCAAAAGCCAAAATTGACAAATGGGATCTAATTAAACTAAAGAGCTTCTGCACAGCAAAAGAAACTACCATCAGAGTGAACAGGCAACCTACAAAATGGGAGAAAATTTTTGCAACCTACTCATCTGAAAAAGGGCTAATAACAACAATCTACAATGAACTCAAACAAATTTACAAGTAAAAAACAAACAACCCCTTCAAAAAGTGGGTGAAGGACACGAATAGACACTTCTCAAAAGAAGACATTTATGCAGCCAAAAAACACATGAAAAAATCCTCATCATCACTGGCCATCAGAGAAATGCAAATCAAAACCACAATGAGATACCATCTCACACCAGTTAGAATGGCGATCATTAAAAAGTCAGGAAACGGCAGGTGCTGGAGAGGATGTGGAGAAATAGGAACACTTTTACACTGTTGGTGGGACTGTAAACTAGTTCAAACATTGTGGAAGTCAGTGTGGCGATTCCTCAAGTATCTAGAACTAGAAATACCATGTCACCCAGCCATTCCATTACTGGGTATATACACAAAGGACTATAAATCATGCTGCAATAAAGACACATGCACACGTATGTTTAATAGCAAAGACTTGGAACCATCCCAAATGTCCAACAACGATAGACTGGATTAAGAAAATGTGGCACATATACACCATGGAGTACTATGCAGCCACAGAAAATGATGAGTTCATGTCCTACGTAGGGACATGGATGAAACTGGAAATCATCATTCTCAGTAAACTCTCGCAAGGACAAAAAACCAAACACCACATGTTCTCATTCATAGGTGGGTATTGAACAATGAGAACACATGGACACAGGAAGGGGAACATCACACTTCGGGGACTGTTGTGGGGTGGGGGGAGTGGGGAGGGATAGCATTAGGAGATATGCCTAATGCTAAATGACAAGTTAATGGGTGCAGCACACCAACATGGCACATGAACACTTATGTTACAAACCTGCACATTGTGCACATGTATCCTATAACTTAAGGTATAATAATAAAATAAAATAAAATAAACAAAATATACACTAATACAGATTAACCAACTTAAAAAAATAGTAGAGAAAGGTCATTTAAAAAATATGAAGAACAGAGTAATAATCTAACACGTTGAAATCTAAGAAGGAGAAAACAGCTTGTCTGAACAGCATTTTAAGTGGCAATGTTAGAGGTTTTATAAAAATTGGCCAATAATATTAAACCTCAGGTTCAGGAGACTTTTCAAAGCAAAGGAAAAGACACACAGAGGACACATCTAGAAACATAATGGGACAATTTCCGAAAAGTAGAAGAAAAATGTAAAGAGCACTAGATAAAAAAAATTGGGCTAACTACAAAGAGAAAGAGTTGACTGATAACAACTTTCTCAAATGAAACAACGAAAGCCAACAAGTGAGGTACTGATATCTTTCAAGTCCTGAAATAAAATAAGTGCTGACCTAGAACTGTCTACTTGGTGGACATATCCATCAAAAGCAAAGATACAATAAAGAATTTCTCCCAAGCAGACCCATAGGAAAAGAAATACTGAAGATTATTCTTCAGGTAGAAGAGCCATGATCCCTGATGAAAGTTTGCAGTTAGAACAATTTTTTTAATGAAAGAAATAAACATAGAGAGAAATTTAATTGGATATCGACTGTATAACAGAATGCTATCTCATAAAGTTTAAAATGTATCCTCCATACAACGGCAGAAGCATTTAAGTTGTGAGTTGGATAAATTAATTTTAAAATATTGTCAAGTTTTTTTTTTTTTGCAAATAGACAAATGTACCAATTATATTAGACCCTGAATTCAATAATGCACGTTGTATTAAACCAGGTAAAATATAACCAGACCAGATTTTTTAAATGGACTCTCTTAAAGTTTTTATAATTTATATTCATATTTCACATATGTTGAAAGTAAATAATGGAAAAGCATGCAATGCAAATATTAACCAAAATATAGCTTTAGTTGTACTTATATTCACATTTTAAAAGTTGGACACAGTTAAGTCTCAGTGATTTTTTTACACAACGGAGGCAAGCTGTGCAGTTATAAATAGTATTATATTATGCTCTTGGCCTGATTACAGAAGGGAAAGGGGCGATCATACCAGACAATGGCAGAATGAAGCAACAAGGAGTAGAGTTACAGAACATGATGCTGTAACTGGGACTGGAGTTACTCTTTTAGAGTTAAAGAATAGTAAACTGGGCAAAATATATGGAACATTTTTTTGAAGTACTGAACATCAGGCAGCGCAGGACTCTGCTCTGCAAGAGAAGAGAAGGAGGCAGAATGAGTCCTGCTTTATTCCCAGATTCTCCGTGACAGCAGTAGAGAGGAATCCCAGAGAGAGCAGACATTGTCATTGCACTGAGGAACCAGATAAAAATCAAAAAAGGTTAAGTAGCTGGAATGTGTAGTAGAAGAGAACGTTTACAGAAAAAGGAATCAAGAATCAGCCTAAGGATTCTCCCAAGTCCCTAAGCCAAAGGACTCTACCAGGGAGTTGGAAGAAGAACACTTCCCTGGCATCACATGACAGGAAGACACGTTAGCTCTGACAAGCCAGAGAAGGGAATCCCCTCTGTACCTCCAGGATATTCAGTAAAGACCACTGGAGGTTCATGCCGTAGTGACAGTGCTCATTTAGCTCCAAATTACAGATGGCTCTAGACTAACTCCACAAAGTTTAAAGAGAAGATTTAAAACAACAACAGACAAATACTCATCCTGAAGTTACTGAACTGCCTGCCACAACATTGTTCAAAGGTAGCCAATAAAATCTAGATATTCAATAGCATAACATCAAAATACCCCCAAAAAAAAAAACTCTGACATGCAAAGAAGCCGTAAGATATATATAATTAAGATATATATTAACAGGATAAAAATAAGTCATTTATAAATGACAGAAAAGAAGGAAATTTCAAGGTCCTTAAAGTAAATATATTTTATAAATACATGTAGATAAATACATATATATGTCAAGGTACTTAAATGAAAATTGAACATAGGAGAAAAATAGAAGTTATAAAATGAAAAATGTGACATGTATAGATGGAAAAAAAATATTTGAAATAAAAATTCCATGAGATTGAATAAGTAATGGATTTTACCCTAACATCAGAAAATTTATAGAAAAAAATAGAAGCTTTACAAACTAAAGGACAAAGGGTAAACTAAAATAAGAAAGCCAGAAACTCACTGATACGTCAGACAATATGCAGCAGTGTAACATACATGTAATTAATATCTCAAAAAGGATGGGTGGGGAAATTACAGGTGAATAAAGAATGGTACACTCATTCCTGAGGGCACCGAGGAGGGAGGATAGCTTTAGATTTCTAAGGGAGGGTATTATCCATTCATGAAGGTCCAACCCCATGACCAAACACCTCCCAGTAAGCCCCACCTGCAACATTGGGGATCAAATTTTAACATGAGATTGGAAGGGGCAAGCATTCAAACCATAGCAAGAGTTAAATTTCCTTTTTAAGAAAATCACTGATATGATTCCATTTCGCCATAGATAAAAGCTGGTATTTCAGCCTACCATTGAGTGTGCTTATAGCTCACCAAAAGGGCACTCTGTCTCGGGAATACAGATTTGCCTAGAGGTATCCTAGTGCAGTCAAAGAAAGAGCAATGAGGGATAGAAAAGGTTAGTGATGGAGACACCAGCGCTGCATTTTGCAACAAACAATGTGAAAATTTTACGGATTGGTTCAGCTAACTTACTACAGTTTACATTCCTCTCAGGTGGGAGAATTGTTGCGTTTTTTTCTCAAGATAGAAAAGCAATTCAGATAATCTGAAATCTCCACAAGAAGGATAAGAAGCACAGCAGAAACTATTCTAGGCAGGAAGTCAATCCTTTCAACTGTCTGTGCTCCATAGAAACAATTGTCTGCACTGGGAGTCATATGAGGTACAGACAACAGCCAGACCTCTGATCCTCTCATTAGTGATTTCAGAAGAAATTACCAGTCAACTGAGTAATTCACTGAGTAAAGTAAACATTTGGCACTGAAAGAGGTTAGACGGATAACTATTTGTATCACCATATTCATGAAGCTGGAATATTTTCCATTACTGGTATCACATCCGAATGGAAGATGTTAAAAGGTCTCTCATCTTGTAAGATGGATATGAAAGAACATTTTCTGAGAAATGAAATTATTAACACACCTGCGAGGCGGATGGAAGAGAAAAAAAAAGAATAATCAGCTTGAGTTCTTCTCCTTGATAAGACAACTCACTAAAAACATAAAGAGAAAAATACAAGTTTAAAATAATTAACCAGAAGAAGACGACTCTAGAGTTTTTAAATTGCTGATAAGATTTTAATTTGCTCCAAGTTGAAAATAATTATATTGCTTGTGTTTTAAGACACATAATGAGCAATTATATCACACATGATAGTTTCAGCAGTAAAATAGTATCCGTTAACAGCTGGAACTCATAAAAGCATAGCACAATGTGAAGATGGAATTTGCTAAAATAAACCATCTGCTGAAAACTACTATTCTGCAAATTTAAAAATAAAGTTTAAATGTTATTTGTCTTATTTAATAGGTCTGTGAAAAAAATGCGCTATTTGAAAAGTAGGTGCTACCTTAATTAATTCTTTATATTAGACGGCTGGTTACAGTAATGCACAGTAAGGTGCCACATAGATATATTGCTAAATTTTCTGCATATACTATGTATTTGGCTTAAATTATTTGAAATTTTATAGTCAAAATAACAAATGTATATTTAAATGTTTTGACACAAATTGCAAATATACCTTTAAAAAGCGTCTTACCCTCTAAATATTATTTGTCACCTATATATTTGTCTTTTCTCTATAGGAAAGTTTAAATTTTTCCCTTGGAGCTTTAATTATTTGAGTCTATAAAACAAACTGATAATGTACAAATTAACAGGAAAAAAAGTTTACAGATATGTGCACAAGTATGCACTTGGAGTTTACATAATATATATAAATATATCTATACAAATATTTGTATATTATAAATAGATATACAAATATATACTATATATATAAAAACTCCAGGAAAGGCAAGGTAGTCAACACGCCTATGCTGTCTTGAGGTTACAGAAAACACAGAGCTGTAGGTTGGTAAATCAGGCTTTGCGGAAGACAGGTGACGACAAGGAAGAAAGAGGAGCCTGGCAGCAGAGGTGGTCTTGTTACATGGATGAAACCTCAAAGGGAGCAGCCCTCCTCTTGGGAAGTATAGATAGGAAATGGTTTTTAGAAATGTAAACGTGCCAGGCTCAGTTAATCTTTCCTAAACCCAGACAAGGGAGTATCTCAGGGAAAGCCTGTCTATATCAATGCAGATTTTCTCTACAAATGCAAACCTCCCCAACAAACACAGCTTTTCAGCTATTCTTGTAGAAGATGCTATCTCCAGTCTTCCGAGTAGCCATCTTGAAATATGTCAAAGAGCTGCCCAGGCGCACGCCTGTAATCCCAGCACTTTGGGAGGCCGAAGTGGGTAGATCACCTGAAGTCAGGAGTTGGAGACCAGCCTGACCAACATGGTGAAACCCCGTCTCTACTAAATACAAAAAATTAGCCGAGTGTGGTGGTGCATGCCTGTAATTTCAGCTACTCGGGAGGCTGAGCTAGGAGAATTACTTGACCCTGGGAGGCTGAGGTTGCAGTGAGCCAAGATTGTGCCATTGCACTCTAGCCTGGGCAATAAAAGCAAAACTCCATCTCAAAAAAAAAAAAAATGTATTTTAGGGTAATATTTTGAGTATCTTCACCTCCATATGTACAATAAATATTATTGTGATTTTTAATCTTTTCTGTGGAGAAAACACAGGTGTGATTGCTAGTGTAGCTGAACATCGTTTATTTGACAATATTGCACTTGTGTGTGGGTGTGTGCCTGTGTAGCTACTCTTTAATTTTGTTCTCACATAATGATTAGATATTAACAATTAATTCAGTAAAATGTATGTTTTGCAATATTTCTCCATGTTATTATGCTTTAAATTAGTTTAATCATGCCCCTATAATGTGTACATTTTAACCTTTGACTATAGGTCTCAATCTTACTTTGGTTCCTGTATTTGAATTTATGCTAATAAAGTCCTACAGCTAAAAAAGATGATATAAACTAATCTACATTTTTACTAGTATTCTGGTGTCACTTTAAATTATGTAATGAAATCAAATTTTAATTTGGATTATTGTTATCTGAGTTAAGGATCTAAATTTTTAATTTTATTATAAATATTACATAATTATTTCTGAACCATACGTTGACTAATCTGCCCTTTATATGATGTGCATTATAAGAGCTTGGGATTGTTTTATTTGCAAAGATGAATGCTTGAGAAGTAGATATTTAATCATAACATTTCAAAATCTACTGGATAACCTAGAATTGAAAAATAGCCTATAGGTTGAAAAACTCCTGTAGTGAAGAAAGAAAATAACTAATATACAGTGACAATATAAATATTATAAGTATTTATTGTATTATCGCCCTGAAATTTGATAATACAAACATGTAATATCTACATATCATCCATATATCAGGTCATAAAAAATCAATACATTCTTCAAAAGTTTAGCATAACAGAAAATGCACTCTCTCTCCTTGATGGAATTAAGTTACCAATAAAAGTAAAAATAAGTAGATAAGTAGATGGAAGTAGATGTTTAAAAACAAAGAAAAATATTTGTTTTGGATAACATAAAATCTCAATTGACAATTCCAACATTTCCAGAACTTTGCCTGTCAACTGGTGGAGAGTTTTCCCCAGGAGACATTTGTCAATGTCTAGGGTTATTGTGGGGATGTCAAGACTGGTGGAGGTGTGAAATTTAGAGGTCAAACGAAACACCTAGCATTGCTAGGGCAGCCTCCCACAACAAAGAATCCTCTGGTCCTAAAGTTAAGTAGCACCAAGGTTGAGAAACCATAATCTAGACAGCAAACACTACGTAGCTATTCCAAGTGCTCAGGAAAACACATCAGTGCCCTCGAGGGGAAAAGTGTGAACATTTTAATTGCCGTACATGGTGACACAAATCCATGTTGTTAATCTAAGTGGAAGGGGCTGAAGCACAAAACGTAATTCAAAGAGTTTACTTGAGCCACAATGAGGACAGCTGCCTGGAAGAAACAGACCCACGTATCCTTGGATATGAACTCCCTTTGGAGCTTTGCAACAAGCAGTTTCTTAAAGGCAAAAAAGGGTCCAGAAGTGGGATGATCCAAAGAGGTTTGTCACAAATTCTCATTGGCTTATGGAAATAACATTTATTAGTGACTGGCTATACACTGTTACACTATTATTGGGTGTGTATTATAGTGTCTGGAGTGGCGTTATTGGTTAATTTATAGCTACTGTGGCAACTGCAAGCAGCCTAGATGAACACACAGCTCAAAGAGGAGCAGGACAGAACTGCTGTCTCATTTGAATATCTCTCTGGGCCTGATTATTTAAAAGGACTTGCATTTCTCACATGAAAGTTATTTTCTTTTCTCAATGTCCATAAACGAGAATAAATATAGATCTTTTCGAGGATGAAGTAAATGGAATGAAAAACAAAACCCAAGCTGACCAGAAATCATAGAGGGAAGAAAAGGTTATAAATATATGGATTTTTCAAAGTGATTTTAAGCTATTAGGAATCAGTTAAATGTTGGGGGATTTTGTCTGAGAATGGGCTAAAGGAGAATGTCCCTTTTGCCTTCTGAAGTTTCCCTGAAAATCACTAATAGGAGGCAGATAAATAGTAGAAAAGGCATACAGGTTTCTGCAATGTGTGTACACTGGAGCCCTTAGAACGAAGACCCAGACACACGATGCGTGCAGAAGCTCATCTACCACATGAAGTTTACAGAAAGAATGGGGTCTTGGATCACAGGGAAAAAAAAAAAAGGTTATGTGAGAAAACGACCCTGGCTAGCGACAGTGGGCTTATTACATAGGTGGAACCTCACTGGGAGCAGTCCTCAGAGAGAATAGAGAAAAAATGTTTCTTTCAGACCTTTGGAGACCTCAGACTCTCAGTTAACCTTTCCTAGATCCAGACAAGGGGGCAGACCTCAGAGAAAGCCTGGCTGCATCAAGGCAGATTCTCTACTGACGCAAATCTCCCCAAGACAGCTTTGCAGCTAAGTTTGCATTTCCAGCCCTTCTCAATAGCCATTTTGAAATATATCAAGGAAATATATTTAGGGGTAAAATATATTAGTTTCCCTCATACAGCTATAAAACATACAGGAATAATTTTTGTCAATGTCTACTACAAATCCAATATAGCAGTAATTATAAAACCCACCAGATATTGAAGAAAAAATATGTAGAGTACATCAATTGCAAATGTTGATACTAAAATGCCAAATAAAATAAAAATAATATCCAACAATATTTGAAACAGTAAGACAAGAAATTGGCAAACAAAATAAAACAAATATCCACCTTGGGGGTGAAAGTGTGTTTCCAAATTTGGTAATCCACTAATATTAACAATCATATTGATTAGCCCAAATTAAAAATAAATAGGGGATTCTCAGTACATGCTAAAATATATTTGTTAAAAGGCAATATTCATGTCTTTAAAGATTTTAAATGCTATAAAGAGTCTGATATTCTATACGCAAACATGTGTATGTCCATTAGAAGAATAGAGGCCTGATTTTCATATGTTACTACATAGAGATAGAGAAGTGGATAGATTAATTTGCATATGCATAGAGAAAGCATAAAATAGAAATTTACTATCATATTAAAGGAATTTTAATTCAACAATAAAATAATTCAAAGGTAAAATTTTAAATATTTTTAACAGGTACATTATTAATATTAGATAATATTTATAATAATTGTGAAAATATTCAATGCTAAAATAAGATACAATGTCTAAACATCAGTATTAAAACTAGTATAAATATTTGCTTGTTTATACAAGGAAAATTCAAGCTCGACCTAAAATTATATAGGAAATAAAAGAAAAATTTTAAGGGAGCTCTTTAATAACATAAACATATATATATATACACACACACATATGACATGTATATATGTTATATGGGATAGATATAGATTTAACATGTTATATCTATATTTGTATCTATAACTACAGCTGTATGTATCTACATTTCTATATATTTACTCAGTGATATAAACATAGACTGGAATAAATATAAAGACACATATGATTCTTGGATAAAAAGGATTTAGTGTCATAAAGACAAATTCTTTCCAAATTCACTTATGAATTCACAACAATATACAGTTTCATTAGTATAATTTAAAACTTTTAAATAAATTCCAAGATTCATTTAAAGGAATATACACGTATACAAGCAGTCAAGAAAGAAGCAAGAGTGCACTTAACTAACTTGCTATTAAAAGACATTTTTAAACTTAGTAACTAAAACTGAGCAGTACTGATTTGGAGTACTGGAATTTAGGTATATGGGATCTCAAAAGCACAGAGCTCAAGGGAGACCCCTGTATGCACGAGAGCTTAGGATGTGCTTTAGAAGGCATTACCAAACCACGGGCAAAGTTACTTTAGTGTCTTAGTCTTACTAGGTTTGAAAAGCCAGAGAAAAGACTCAAGACCACCATATAAGAGCAAAACAAAAGGACAGGGAGAGAATGTGAAGATACTGAAACATTTTACATAAAGTTGTATAAAACATCCTTTAAAGAAAATATAAAGTTTAGGATATACATCAAAATCAGCAGAGCCACTAAATAAATAAATAGGCATTGTAAAATAGCAAGAGAAAATTTAAATGGATTTCTAAAAAATATTGACACCTATGATTTTTAAAATATGTTTAAGAAATCCCGTATTTCACAGGGCAGCCTTTCACAACGCAGATATGTTAGGACATAAAGGTCCTTCTGTTTTTAATTTACTAGTGTTTATAGGGTTACAAATGTCTTCTACCCTTGTCTTTTGTCTGATGGTGCAAAAAATTTTCATAAGCATGTATTTCTGAATGCCTGATGGATTGACATATATAATATGCTGCTAGTATTAAAATATGTGATGGAAAAGGCATCCAATCTTCTCACTGTTTACATAAATTCTAGGTTTCTCCTATTTACCTCAAGCACGTATGGAGCGAATTCTTACCTTTTAATATTGCCATGGCATTCACATTGAACATAAGTTGAACTCTCTCATATGGTAGCTGGGTTCAGATTCCCTTGACAATTTCCAGTTCTAACCCTCACAGTTCCTCAGTGTGGCTGGCCCAGATATTGACCCTACACAGTTGCCTCCTCCTGGTGACTACCAGCTATGGAACCGTTGGATACAACCTACCTGACTCACCCCACAGACCTCACAGCGCACATGGACAGCCCCCACACGCCAGAGTGACCTGCTCGGTTGCAGCGGGAGTCAAGAAATGTGCCTGCTGGCACTCACCCCACCGACTAGTGCCCCGTGGAAAACTTATTTGGGTAATGTTCTGGGCCCAATAAAAGCTAGAGTCCCACAGACCCCTTTTCTCTCTCCCGCTCCCCACTCATCTTCCCCATTTTGTTCAGCCCTATGAGGTGTGCTACTGTATTAGTCCATTTTCACACCACCGGTAAAGACATGCCCAAGACTGGGTAATTTCTAGAAGAAAGAGGTTTAATACACGCACAGTTCCACATGGCTGGGTAGGCCTCACAATCATGGCGCAAGCTGAAAGGCACGTCTCACATGGCAGCAGACAAGACAAGAGAGCTTGTGCAGGGAAACTCCTCTTTATAAAACCATCAGATCTTGTGAGACTTATTCACTATCAGAAGAACAGCATGGGAAAGACCTGCCCCCATGATTCAATTACCTCCCACCTGTTCCCTCCCACAACATGTGGGAATTCAAGATGAGATTTGGCTGGGGACACAGCTAAACCCTCTTCTCAGCTACCCTCTTCTCTCTGGATCTGTGAGTAATAAACCTACTTCTGTGATTTCCCATGTTTGGTTCTGTGGCCTCCATGTGTCTGAGCTGACCTACACTGGAACCTAACTCTCCTCCTGGCCAGGGTCTCTGAGAGTGGCTCTTGTCAGAAATACACAGGACACAGGTCAGGCAACAGTCACCAGGCATCTCCTAGTCTCAACAGATGTTCTGTGAGAGGGAGGCCTGGTCGTGGGATGCACACCTGGCCACTGCTGGGGTAAGGAAGTGTCCTGTGAAAAGCACATGTTAAGCATCCACAACCCCCTGATCAGAACCCCAGAAAGGCAGGGCTCCAATTGACGGTCACTCTCCAGAGGCAAACCTCAAGCCCTAACTGGAGGAAAAGAAAACAATGTAAAAGTTGAATTTATCTTACTATTTCAATGATCCAGTAAAGACATTCTATGCCTGTACACCACATATTTTCTTCGATTGTGGATTTATTTTAGATAGAATTTTATGTCTGGCTTTCACTTTAGCCTGGTCCCTACCTCAAGCATAAGGTAAAGATTTTCCATGGGTTCTTTTCTGGTACTACTACCTGCCAGTGTGGGGTCATGTCCTAGTCTATCTTGAGGGAATCCCCCTGTTCATTATTGTCAGAGTGAGACTGTTAAGTCTTGATTTCCCTGGACAACTTCACTGCATGACTTTTAATATGATTTTTTAATATACCCTTTACTGGACAATAAATTATATAGTTATCTGAGTAAGAGATATGGTCAGGAAGAGGCATTGCCTCATTCAGCTTTTCTCTTTGGTGAACTCGCATATGTTCTCCTCACCCGCCAGTCACCTCTAAACCGTATTGTTCCAAGACAACAAACAGAACTGGAGTGTGTATCATTCACCACTGGATTTGTGTTTACTCCATAAAGCTTCATGCTTAATAGGGTTTCTGTTAGCATTTTCTCTATTTATTTTCCCATAAAATATCACAGGCCTTCTTCATATGGAATTATGGGTGATTTCCTTCAATCTGCATCATATCAACTTGAGGTTCATGTTGATGAAAAGTAAAACATACGTTGAAAATATCAGTAAGGATGTTTTCCCCTCCTTTTTAGCACCTGTGCTTGTGATACAAGCACATTTTAATACAATTGTAGTCTCATGCTTTGATCATTCCTATGATGAAAATAACATTTTTAGATAAAATATCTGAGTTTTATGAGGCCTTTAGTATGTGATGTGATAGAATATCAGAAGACCATACTTTTTTCTAGTTTTCCGTGCAATTCTATCATTGTTTCATCTTTACTCCTACCAGAGTAATTTTCCAAAATAGATATCTTGTCATTCTTCCTGTTGTTATCAGTAAATAAGTGAAATGAAAAGCTAGATTATATAATTTATCTAGAACAAGAAAGTAGAATTGAATCTATATTCATTAATGAGACTAACCAGTCAATTACACAGATAGGCATTTTACATTTTGAAGATCATATGGACCCATTGTCAGAAATATTATTATTTATGTCTATATGGACATCACCTGTGCATATTTACATAGAAATCAATGAGAGCTGATTTTTATTTTTATTATATATATTTTTTGAGATAGGGTCTTGCTTTGTTGCCCAGGCTGGAGTGCAGTGGTGCAATCACTGCTCACTGCAGCCTCAGCCTCCCAAGCTCAAGCAATCCTTCCACCTTGGCCTCCCAAATAGCTAGGACAACAGGTGCACATCACCATGCCCACTTTTTTTTTTTCTTAACTTTTGATAGAGACTGGGTCTTTCTATGTTGCCCAGGTTGCTTTTGAACTCCTGGGCTCAAGGAATCCTCTCATTTCAGCCTCTTCAACTGCTGGTATTACAAGCATGAGCCACCATATGGGCTGGAAGCTGATTTTTAAAATACTGAGATCATATAGATGACAGCACCTGAAAAATAGACAACACCAAGCTTTATGTTAAAAGGTGTGAGGGTATCAATATTGTTGTGGCTATTGGGGAGGAAAACATTAGTAAAACCAGTAAGTTAAAGCTCTTGCTTTAAACTTTGGCTTTAATTTAACAAATGTTCTATGGAGTGACAGTATGTATGTAACCATGCTATGCCCATTCACAGATGCAGTAGAGGGAAGAATTTCTCAAAGACAACTGTTCTAACACTCAAATTAAACCGTACTGGGTTTGAAAAGAGAAAGTCCAGGAATTACCAAATATTTTAGATATCAGATAAAAGAGAATGCCAGGTATGCGATGATAATCAGCAATGGTTGTTCACACAATACATCAAATCAGTATTTGAATTAGCTTTTGAATTACAAGGACAAATGGATCAAGTCTAGACTCTTTAGTAGATAAATCTTATTAGGCTGAGATGTGTTTTCCCCTGTTTTTCCACAAGGAGATTACAAATTTGCAAACCTCAGCTGCTCTCATTTTATGCTCTCACCAAGCCAAAAGCTGAAGTTCATCAATCAGTGTGTCTAAGTGTTCACTGGTTATATACCATTTTGTAGTTTCAGCTATCTTTCCAACTTCCTAAATCATCACCTTCATTTGATCTTGTTTTTTTCCACTATCACTTCTTTATTGACCATATAAAGAATGTAAGTGAGTTCTTATTTGGTTATTGTTCATTTTAGTCTAACTTCATCAAAATATCACAATCTTTTAATTTCACTTTAATTTCAAAGATTAAATGAAACCTACATAGAAATGAGTGTAAGATTTGCATTTGCATTATTTTGGCATCAATTTGCTATCCTCCCTCATGCACATAGAGCTCATTTCCATGTACGTGATTTCAAACATCCAAGTGCAGTATTAAAAGCAGTTGTAAATTATGGTTCTCATTTTCCTGATACAATTACAATATAAACTTCCTCTTGCTGCTGTAACCAATTACCACAAACTTCATATCTTACAATAAAGTGACCGTTAATCCTACAGTTCTGTAGTTCAGAAGACTTGAATGAAACTCACAGGGCTAACATCAAGTTTTGGGCAGGGCTGCAGTCTTTCTGAGAGCTATGTGGCAGAATCCATTACTTGATTTTTTTCAGCATCCAGAGGACACCTTTATTCCTTGGAACATGACCTCATTCTTATATCCTATTTTTCTTTTCTTTCTTTTTTTTTTTTTTTTTGAGATGGAATCTCCTTTTTTTTTGAGATGGAATCACCCAGGCTGGAGTGCAGTGGCATGATCTCAGCTCACTGCAACCTCTGCCTCCCGGGTTCAAGTGATTCTTCTGCCTCAGCTTCCTGAGTAGCTTGGACTACAGGCACTTGCCACCATGCCCAGTTAATTTTTTGTATTTTTAGTAGGGATGGGGTTTCACCATGTTACCCAGGATGGTCTCGATCTCCTGACTTCGTGATCCACCCACCCCAGCCTCCCAAAGTGCTGGGATTAGGCGTGAGCCACCGCGCTGGGGTCCTCATTCTTGTATCTTAAAAGTCAGTGATGTTGAGTAATTTCTCATGCCACCACCCCCAAGGTTGCCTTTCTTCTGTCTTCTTCTTTCACTTATAAGGAAGTTTGTGATTTCATTGATCCCACCCATTTAAGACAATCTCTCTATCATTTTTCCGCAACCTTAATTTCACTTGAAATCTAATTTCACACTGCCGTGCAACCTAACATATTTGTATGTTAGACTCTGGGAATTAGGACATGAAAATTTTTGGGAGGCCATTCTTTTGCCTACAGCAGACATAATCTATTTAACCTGCAGATTAAAGCGTTCTTTATTTTTCTGTCTCCCTGTCTTAATTTTTTTAAAATAATATGAATTGTAGTAAAGAGAAAGAAAGAAAAGAAAACAAAGAAAGAAAAAGAAGGAAGGAAAGAAGGAAGGAAATAAAGAAAAAAGAGGGAAAAGAAGGAGGAAATGAGGGAAGGAAGGGAGGGAGGGAGGAAGGGAGAAAGGCAGGAAGGGAGAAAAAAGAAAACATGAACACAAGAAAGAAAGAAGGAAGGAAAGAAAGAAAGAAAGAGAAAGAGAGAAAGAAAGAAAGGAGGAAGGGAGGAAGAAAAGGAGGAAGAGAGAATGGTAAAAGGGAGGAAGGCAATGAAACAAAGAAAATAAAGAGGCGAAGGAAGGAAGGAGGGAAAAAGAGGAAAGGAAGGGAGGGAGGAAGGAAGAAAAGGAGGGCGGGAGGAAGGGAGAAAAAAGGAAAGAAAGCAAGAACGTGAGAAAGAAAGAAAGAATACGAGAAAAGAAGGAAGAAAAGGGAGGGAGAAAGGAAGGGAGGGAGGAGGGAAGGAAGAATAAGAGGGAAGAAGGAAAGAAGGAAGGAAGGAGAAAAAAGAAAAAGAAAGAAAGGAAAAGAAAAAAGAAAAAAGGAAGAGGAAAAGAAGAAAGGAAGGAAGAAGGCAAGGGAAGGGAAGAGAAGACAAAGGAAGATGGAAAGAAGGAAGGAAAACCGCAAATATTAGAAATTCTGTGTTTGTTAGAGAATATGCCATACTGTTTTTTTTTTTTTTCACTTGAAAGGAAAGAGTATCTGCCATTGAAGATTGGATGTCTTGTTGGTGATACTGTTGTTCTTATCTTCCACATGATTACTGAGTTTGTGCCTAGTCTTTCCATTACTAAGACAAAAGTGTTGAAGTCTGCAAATATAATTTTGGATTTTTCTAGTTCACCTTTGATTTCTTTCATGTTTTACCTCATGTATTTGGAGGTTCTGTTGTTAGCTGCATACCCTAATTAGTAGGATGTTTACATCTTCTTGAGAACGGATTATTCTATTATCTATTATCTCTCATCTCTGATACTATTGCTTGTTCCAAACTCTG
Source organism: Homo sapiens (assembly GCF_000001405.40). Taxonomy (NCBI): domain Eukaryota; kingdom Metazoa; phylum Chordata; class Mammalia; order Primates; family Hominidae; genus Homo; species Homo sapiens. The sequence goes on from NT_187524.1 coordinate 66,805, forward strand.
TTGTGTCTAATATCAATGTAGTCCTTCCACAGCTTTATTTTAGTGTTTCCATGATATGGCTTTCTCCATATCTTGATGAAAACCTATTTATATCTCTAAATATTTGGAGCAAGATATAAAATTTAGACTTGATTTTTTAAAGATTTTTCAAGATGTAATTCTTATTTCTTTTTGTTCTATTTGACATTCTCTGAGTTTCCTATATTTGAAGTTTGATTTTCTGTCACTTCTTTTAGAATATTTTTGGCAGTTATTTTGAAAAATATTTCTTTTGCTTCATTACTTTTCCCTCTTTTCTTTTTGGGATTTCAATCATAACTAGAGTAGGTAATTTCATCTCAGTCTTATGCAGGTACTTTTTCTCAGGGTCTCAGGAATGTAGCATTCTCACACTTCTGTTCTTTTCCTGGCTGTGTTGGTGAGCTCAGTGATATTCCTCCTTCACCTTCAAGAGCAGTTTTGTTTTGTTTTTCCTGTTTTCATACTCCCAGCATCAGGAGTATTCTAAGTGTGGCAGATTTTCTTGCCTTCCCCTACATATTAAGTGTGATATCTTGGTCTGTTTGGACTCTTTTAACAAAATAACATAAACTGGGTGACTAAAAAACAACAGATATTTCTTTTTTCACAACTCTTGAGGCTGTAAGATCTCAGGCCAAGATGCTCACAAATTCAGTGTTGATGAGAGCCAATTTCCTGGTTCATAGATGGTGCCTTCTTTCTATGTCCTCACATATTGGAAGGCACACAAGAACTCCATTGAGCTTCTTTTATAAAGGCACTAATCCCATTCATAAGGGCTCGGCCCCCAAGACCTGGTCACCTCCCAAGTGTTCTGCTCTCCCTGATCTGTGTCATAAACAGACTCTCTTGGATTCCTTACCAATTGCTTGAGAGATCGCAGTGGGTTTGTGGGGAAAAAGTTTTCAAGATGATGGATCTTTCCCAACTTCTGCAGCTGTCAGCGGTCTCCCAATCTCACCAGCCCCACTTTGCTTTAGGAATTTATTGATTATTCCAGCTTTACTTGTCATAGTGGTGTCTATTTGCATCTGTCCTATGTAAGTGCATCTGTCCTCTTTCTCCTTGCAGGTGCTTGTTTTCCCTCACATTTTGACTCAGTTCTTGGCAACCTCGTTGCTATAAAAATAAAGTGATGACTTTGAAGTTAGTTTGGTTCTTTCATTGTTGTCAGGTTAGGAACCCTATTCCATCCCAGATCTCCAAAACCCAGACTTTTTGGGGGTTTGAAATTTTAGGCTTTGTCTTTGAATTGTAGTTTTATCTTCTTTCAGCTACCATTTGCATTTTCATAATGATTAATGAGACTAAGCTTTTTTTGTGTAGTTGACTGTACCTTTGGATTTTTTTCCCAAATACCTTTTTATTTCTTCTTTTCTTTATGGTTTTAGAAAATGTAGTTTACATAATTGCAGCTTGATTTTTTACTCAGTTAATGGCATGCTTAATGGAGAGAAAAAATATTAAATATATTTCCCTTTTTAATTACTGTGCTTTTTCCTTTTTTAAGGAAATGCTTCATTATGTTAAATTTCAGTGTTATTCTACTTAGCTATTCCTTAAATATTATAGTATTTTGGATTTCACATGTAAATTTGTAACATATCTTGAGTTTATTATGTATAGAGTAAGGCTATTTTCTCTTTTTTTTTAAGGTAAAAATCACATAATACAAAAGTAATAACAACCATTTTAAAGCACACAATGCACTTGCTTTTAGTATATTCACCATGTTCCAGGGCAATTTCATCATGTCCCTTACAAAAACCCATTATGCATAAAGTGGTTACACCCTATTCTGCTTCCCTGAGCCCTAATGACCACTAATCTGATTTATATCCCAATTGATTTGCCAATTCCTGATGTTTCATGTGAATCAAATCAAGTAATATTTGTCCTTTTGTGCACTTAACATAATGCTTTCAAATTTCACCAATATTATACCATATATAAGTACTTCATTCTTCGTTATAGCTGAAAATTGGGTGTCCCTTTATGAGTCAACAAGCATATGGATTGTTTCCACTTTTTGACTGTATGAATATTACTGCTGTAAATATTCATGCACATGTTTATTTTCTGAGCACCTATGTTTTGTAAGATTAACAGCTGACTTAAGAGAAACAATGGAAGGCAAGAGGCAGTAGAATAATATATTCAAAAGATGCAAAGGAAAAAAACCTCTCAGCCACGAATTCCTTATCCAGCAATTATTTTTCAAAAATGAAAATAACACAAAGACTTAGCCAGATAAACAGAAACATTAACTGAAGTTGTTGCTGGCAGACCTACCATATAAAAAAAAAAAAACTCTAAAAAAATTCCTAAGGCTAAAAGCAAGTTACAGAAGACAGTCACTTGAATCCACATTTTAAAAAAAGCACTGATATACGTAATATTGACATTATAAAAGACAGTAAAAATGCATTTCTTCTCTTTATAATAAATTGTTTACTAAATAACATGTGTATAATGGCCAGGCACGATGGCTCACACCTGTAATTTCAGCACTTTGGGAGGCCAAGGCGGGCTTATCACGAGACCAGGAGATCGAGACCATCCTGGCTAACACAGTGAAACCCCGTTTCTACTAAAAATACAAAAAATGAGCCGGGCGTGATGGCGGACGCCTGTAGTCCCAGCTACTCGGGAGGCTGAAGCAGAAAAATGGCATGAAGCCGGGAGATGGAGCTTGCAGTGAGCGGAGATTGTGTCACTGCACTCCAGCCTGGGTGACAGAGGGAGACTCCGTCTCAATGATAATAATATGTGCATAATGTATTGCTGAGTATTTGACATGTAGAAATGTAATACGTCTATAACATATTTTCCAGTAACATCAAAAAGGAGGTAGTTGGAAGAAAAATGTATTGTGATAAGGTAATCACTCTAGATGGTAAAGTAATAATTACTAAAATGTATTGTTGGCTTTGTAACTTTAATAGATGTAATGTGTAAAGTGATAATACTTTAAAATGGAGGAAATAAAAATGATTTATATAAGAATGATGTTTCTATGTATTACTAAAAGTTTAATAGTATAAATTGGAAGATGATTTGAATAATTAATTTTCCATACACCTATATGGTAAACTTACAACAACAATAAAAAGTCTCAAAAATATATAATAAAATAATTCATTAGTAATCTAAAGTTCCCTATTTTAAAAAATATTCTTGCATTGCAAAATAAAGCAATAAAGAAAAATATTTGGAAATATATAAAACAAACGGTAAAATGGCAGACATAAATAGAATTATACCAATTATAATCTTAAATGTGAGCAGATTAAAATCCATTCCAGAGGCAGAGATTGTCAGACCGGATTAAAACAAGTGATCCCAATATACGCTGAGATGCAAGGATACTAACGGATTGAAAGTAAAAAGATGACAAAAAATATCCTACAAAGAGCAATCATAAGAACACTGAACTCATTATACTCATAACACACAATATAGACTATTAAAAATGTGAATAGGATTTTAAAAATTTATATTGTAGTAAAAAGGGGGTCAACGCTTTAGGAAGACATAGCTATTACAATCATGTATGCACAGATATGAGCTAAATTGTTTCCTCTATATAGATGCTGAAATTCTAACCACTGAATATGACCTCATTAGGAAATAGGTTATTTGCAGCTGATCAAGTTAAGATACAATCAGATGAGCCTGAATTCAATATGACTGATGTCCTTATTAAAAGAAGAAATTTGAGTAGAGGGAGACATACACACAGGGAGAGTACCATGTGATTATGAGGGCAGAGATTAGCCAAGGAATGCCAAAGACTGCCACTAAACCACCAGAAGCGAGAAACAAGGCACAGAACAGGCTTTCTCTCATAGCCCTTGAAGGGACCATCCCTGCTGACACCTCAATCTCAGACTTTTAGCTTCCAGGACTATAAGACTATAAATGTATGCTGTTCAAGGCACTCAGTTTGTGTTAGTTGGTTATGGCAGCCCTAGAAAACTAATACATGAACTAATAACAAAGCATAATAACATGAAGCAAAAATTGACAAAAGAGGAGCATCAGCAAAATGGCAGTGGAGACAGCTGCAATCTGTCATTTCCCCACAGAAACATCACACAACTAAGAGAAACTGTCCGAACAAACTTTGCCAAAACTCTGGAAAATGGTCAAAAGATTACAACAACCAAGTGAAAGCAGACTCAAGAAAAAGACAACTGGAAAACTTTACGACATTTTAAACTTGTCTTTGCCCCAGCAAATTGGCAGTTTTGAAGTGTCAGAAGCCCACGTTCCCAGTGAGGAAGCCTGGTCCATGGTCCAAAGGAACAAGAGAAGATCTTACCCGCAAGTTATTATGTGTCTGTTCTGACTGGTCTGGGGGATACCTAAAGGACTCATGAAAGGCTTTTTTTTCTGTGTTGCTTGAATACAGAACAGATAAGGAATGGACATTATTAAGAAACTCTGCAAGGAGACTTAACAAACCACAGATGCTTAGGGCAAAAATTAAAGTTTACACATATAGTAGATCACCTTCAGCACAGTAAGAAAAGGTGGAGAAGAGTATTTCAAAAACTAAGACATACAAAATCATTCACGTACATGGGAGAGTCTGGAAAGTCACATGTATTCATAGGTTAAGCCACATGTTGACAAATGTCATAAGAAGACCCTACACTTTCACCTTGGCCGATCCCTCCCCTCAGTGCAAGCTCTGTGCAAGAGTGAACTTGAACTTCACTCAGTGCAAGAGTGAACACACACTTTGTGCCGGCTTTAAAGAACCCAGCACAAAGCCAGTCTGCATGGCCTAGAGACATATTTTGCTGGACAATGATTACTTGTTTTCCTTTTTGTTTTTCTTGTATTTGCCTGTTTGATTGGTTCCTGACATACAAGAAAATCACTGTCAAAACATTAGCTTAACATTTGTTAAGGAAACAAAAAGACTTCGGTGACCACACCTTATAAAGCAAACAGTTTTGTAAATCACTTTGGAAAATTTCACTAAAAAAAAAATCCTTAACAATATAATAAGTAAAGAAAATTTAAAACCACAAAACATTACTGTGTTTGTAGAGGGTGTTCGATTTGCAGAGTAACCACTTAGTAATTATAGTTATTAGAATGTCCAGTTTTCAAAAAACGTTACAAGGCATACAAAGAATGGGAAAGTGTGGCTCATTCAAAGGAACAAAATAAATTGACAGAAAATATCCCTAAGGAAACCCAGACATCAAACTTACTAGACAAAGACTTTAAAACAACTCTCTTCATTATACTCAAATGTCAAAAGGAAAACATAATCAAAGAAATAAAGGAATCAGAAAAAAATATTAAAAAGCAGGAATATCAGCAAAGAGATAACAGAAATTCTGGAATGGAAAACTACAATGATAAAAATTTCAAAATCACCAGAGGGATTTAAGAGTCTATTTGCACACACAGAATAAGCCATGAACTTGAAGAGAAGATAATGGAAAATACTGACTCTGAGAAACAGAAAGAATAAAAAATAAACAATGAGCAGAGACTAATGAATCTGTGGGACATCATCAAATAGACCAACATTCATATTCTAGAAGGATAAATTATGTTATTAAAAAGTTTACCCTTCTTTCTTTTCACCTTTCTTCCTTCCTCCTTCCCCCTCCTCTTTACTTTTCTTCCTCTTCCTTTGTCTTCTTCTTTCTCTCCTTCATTATCCCTTTCGCTGTTTCTCTTTCTCCCTTTCTCTTTTTTCTTTTCTTTCAATTTTCTCAATTACTAAGAGATGTTTAAGTACCCTTACCCTGTTAGTAGATACGGTTATTTCTCCCTTTAGTTCTCTTTTGAGATTTATAGTCACTCTAAGTAAAGAGATAACCCAAACATAAGCATCACCAACAGGCTTTCATACCATTCTTAATTTGGTCCTGTAATTCTTCATTGCTGTATTAACTTTCTGATGCTTTTAAGGATGTTTTATAACAAACTGTTTAGTTTTTTCCACTGGAATGTTTATTCTGAATTATCTAATTCATATTGTAAGTATAGAGGGAGTTTAATATGAAATTATTAAACTAATATTTGTGAAAGAATGTATTTGTGCATTCAACAAATATGTTAATCATCAGACTGTTATTGGGCAGCTGAGCATACAGGAATAAAAATAACACAATTTTTATGTGCACAATATTTATGGAATGCGTTACTGGACCAAATAATTTAGTTAATAACATGACAAAGAACAGAAATTGTATACACTATAGAGCATAGTAATGGAATAATGAATGATTAAAGTTATTAATATTAGGTAGAAAATGAAGGGTATCTTTGAGAGCAGAACTCAAGGAAGCAAGCAATTCACCTTATGAGGAAAGAGTTACCTGTGGATAAAGGAGAAACTGAAAAATTTACAAGTCAAGACTTTTTGAGCAAAAGCAAAAATATGACTATTAGTCACCAATTCAGTAGAGTGAAAAAAAAAGTTGAAGAGATATCTTGGAAGTAAACCATGTTGTGGAAGAGCATGTAGGGTTTTGATAATCATGGGATGATTCTGAATTAATTTTAAATGCGATAGGAATATATGAGATAATTTCACCAGAGAATAACATGATTGTGTTTGCATTTCAAAGGGGTGTATCTGGTGCACTGTGTAGAATAAATAGGTTATGTGAGCAAATAAATTGGGAGGCTACTCTAATCCAGAGAAAAAAGGTAGTGACTTAGGTGAGAATGCTGTCAGGATGAGTGGTAGTAGTGGTGAGAAGTCGTTAGGCCATGGATGTATTTCATAGGACTGGCCAAGAGAACTGCAGCTAAATTGGAGTGTAGGGAGTGAAATGGAGAACTCAAAGATGACTCTCAGCACTGGAAGGTGACAGCTGTCACTGAAGCATGCTGATGCCTCTTATTAAGAGAGTTACGTGGGAATGGCAAGATCAAAACTTCTCACTTTCAAATTTATGAAAAATATTGTTTTCAGAACGAATGACTTTGGGATCAGAAAGCCACCATTCTAATTGATGGTTCCACGACTACACGGGCTCACACTCCCAAGAGCAAAAGTAAATCATCACAAAGGTGCTTCTTGATAATTCTAGAGAATGGAGAATTACTGTAACATCTTTCTGATTTTAGGAGAGGTAGCAGTTCCCTTTTTAGCCAAAACGCTATTTTTTTTTAAAGCTCAGCCAAGAGACTCCATTATAATTTTCAAATGTGTGTAACTTAAATTCTCATATGAAATACCACTATGCTTAAATTAGTCAAAACATTTTCCCCATCTACAACTCTATCTTGTCACTGCAATCATTTTCACAAGAGTGACTGCAGCTCACAGACCCTAAAAAGGAGAAAATCCAGGGTAGGTTATCTGATCTAGTTAGTTTTGAAGATAGGATCTAGAGATTATTTAATATGAAATAGGTCACCTGAAATGAAGTGTTTACTGAAAACAGCTTGGATCTGCCCAGTTTTCTACCACTGAACCATGCATTTGGTTTAAAAAACACAACAACTCTGGGGAATACCGGCTGCTTCCAACTGTGTTGAAGGTGTTAAAGAAAAGAGCATAAAATTAAAAATGATCATCTGAGGCCTTTATAGTCTCTGCTCAAGAGACAAGAGTCTTCCATTCTTAACAAAACACCCAAATATCTTAATAATTGGGCAAAATCTAAATATCAGAGATAATTTTATCTTGAAGATTGTTAAATTATAATGGTGATTCACTACCTCGCCACGTCTCTGAGTCAAAAATTAGGTTTTTGTTTAGGAATCAATGGTACTCTGCAACTTGGAAATAGGAAGATTTTAGAAGACTCAAACATTGACTTTCTTGTGTGCAAAAAAAAAAGACGTATTGAGATAAGACAAGTCTTTCCTTGCAAGGATACCTCTAATGCTCATACACCACCTCCCCTAACATTAATACAGCTTCCAGGTCACTAACCAGTGTCAGAGAGCAGCCCATGCAACTAGAAATTCAAAAGATGTCGAACATAGGGTCAAGCCTAGAATAAGAAGTCTTAGCTAATTAAGTATGCTTTTTTCCTGAAATTCATATTAACAAAAACTTGGATATGTCAGAGAATGCATTCTAAGTTCACTCAACCTAGGAGGGAGAAACATAATTTTAAATTAAGAGCTGAAGCATTCTTGTCCTAACAGAAAGCAAGGAAAACGAAATATCACACCACAGGAGGGATTTCACAAATTAGTGTCAACATCAAAACCTTAAAATAGGCAAGGAGAATGCAGATTCACAATGAGCTCCTGTACTTGTTTTGTTCAGAGAAGAGATGGTTCTGAGAGAACGACAGTGAACCAACCCCAGCTGGTTTAGTTGGTGCTTTCAACTGCTGCTTCTGATCAACTCCTTTAGCTAGAATAAATTGATGAGGATTTTGGCATGTGGTATTAGAGATAGTTATTAATTTTTTCCTCTTATTTGCATTGTTCAATGTAGTAAATACTAGCTGCTACTTCAATTCAAATTAATTACAATGAAATATACTTAAATGTTGATTTTTTTAGTCACTGTTGGTTCATTATTGAATATCTTCAGCTAAGATTTCCCATCTAAATACACTAAGAGGTGGCTTAGTTAACTGGTCGTCCACAAATATTGAAGCTGTTGTTAACTCCTGATATATTCTCTGCAAAGAGAATATTCATGAGCCTCCTCCTGAAATCAGCAGCCTAGAGATAGTTTTATAAATTGGATACAAGTTGGAAATCTATATACTCTTTCAGTTTTTGAAATATTAGCTTCCCAGGGAAGAAAATCAAATTCATAAGATATGTTAGGACAATTTAACTCAAGATGTTCAAAACTGAAATGACATGTTCTACAATATGTGATAAAACCAACCCTTAACAACTTAAAGCAAAACAGGGATTGACCTTAAAGACCTGCCTTTTCCTCATGCCCCAGCCAATCAGTTTTCAAATCTTGCATTTTATTTTGAAAGGTCCTTATCCCCCTGGTCTCTTGTTTCTAGACTTCGCACATATTTAAGTTTGTTACCTCTATCTACTGTCTTTCCTCTTTTCAAACAGTATCTATGCCTGCCAAATGTGAACATACAAAAAACAAATCAGAATATGCCATTCTGATTTAAACTGCTTATTAGTTAATACCCTCAAGATAACATCTGGGTTCTTAGCTGCAATGAGTCAAGCTTACATCTTTTTTTGTCTTTGGCTGCACATTTCCTATCACATCACACTCCAGCAATACCAAGCTGTGCCGTCCTTCTACCCCATCTCCACTATTTTGCCCCCCACCGCCGTGGCTTTTCGCCCCCCGCCGCCGCGGCTTTTTCCCCCCCACCCCGCCTCGGCTTTTTGCCCGCCACGGCTTTCTGTCCCCCGCCGCCGCGACTTTTTGCCCGCCGCGGCTTTTTACCCCCCGCCGCCGTGGCTTTTTGCCCCACTGCCGCCGCGGCTTTTTGCCCCCCACCCCGCCTCGGCTTTTTGCCCGCCGCGGCTTTGTTGTGACCCCCCTCGCCACCGCGGCTTTATGTCCCCCCGCCGCCGCGGCTTTTTGCCCGCCGCGGGCTTTTGCCCCCCGCCGCCGCGGCTTTTTGTCGCCGCTGGCTTTTTGCCCCCCCGCCCCCGCGGATTTTTCCCCCCTGCCGACGCGGCTTTTTGCCCGCCCCGTCTTTTTGCCACCCCCCGACCCCGGGCGACGCGGCTTTTTGCCCCTGCCGCCGCGGTTTTTTTGCCGGATGCGGGTTTTTGCCCCCCCCCCCCGGGACTTTCTGCCCGCCGCGGCTTTTTTTGCCTCCGCAGCTTTTTGCCCGACCCGGCTTTTTACCCCCCGCCGCCGCGGCTTTTTGTCGCCGCGGCTTTTTGCACCCCCGCCGCCATGGCTTTTTCCCGCCGCGGCTTTTTGCCCGCCCCGGCTTTTTGCCCCCCAGCCACCGCGGCTTATTGACCCCCCGCCGCCGCGGCTTTTTGCCCCCCCCCCGCCACCGCGGCTTTTTGCCCCCCCCCGCCACCGCGGCTTTTTCCCCGCCGCGGCTTTTTACCCCCTGCCGCCGCGGTTTTTTGCTTGACCCAGCTTTTTGCTCCTCCCACCGCCGCGGCTTTTTGCCCCCCACCCGCCCCGGTGCTGCGGATATTTGCCCGTCGCGGCTTTTTGCACCCCCGTCGCCGCGGCTTTTTCCCCGCCCCGGCTTTTTGCCCCGCCGCCGCCGCGGCGTTTTGGCCCACCGCCGCCGCGGCGTTTTGCTCCCCGCCGCCGCCGCCGCCGCCGCCGCCGCCGCCGCCGCCGCGGCGTTTTGCTCCCCGCCGCCGCCGCGGCGTTTTGCTCGCCGCCGCCGCCGCCGCCGCCGCCGCGGCGTTTTGCTCCCCGCCGCCGCCGCCGCCGCCGCCGCGGCGTTTTGCTCCCCGCCGCCGCCGCCGCCGCCGCCGCGGCGTTTTGCGCGCCTCGGCTTTTTACCCCCCGCCGCCCCGGCTTTCTGCCCGCCTTAGCTTTCTGCCCCCCGCCCCCACGGCTTTCTGCCCGCCGCGGCTTTTTGCCCCCTGCCGCCGCGGCTTTTGCCTCCGTGGCTTTTTGCCCGACCCGGCTTTTTGCCCCCCCAGCCGCTGTGGCTTTTTGCCGCCGCGGCTTTTTGCCCGCCGCGGCTTTTTACCCCCCGCCGCCGCGGCTTTTTGTCGCCGCGGCTTTTTGCCGCCCCGCCGCCATGGCTTTTGCCCGCCGCGGCTTTTTGCCCGCCCCGGCTTTTTGCCCCCCAGCCACCGCGGCTTATTGACCCCCCGCCGCCGCGGCTTTTTGCCCGCCGCGGCTTTTTACCCCCTGCCGCCGCGGCTTTTTGCTTGACCCAGCTTTTTGCTCCTCCCACCGCCGCGGCTTTTTGCCCCCCACCCGCCCCGGTGCCGCGGTTATTTGCCCGTCGCGGCTTTTTGCACCCCCGTCGCCGCGGCTTTTTGCCCCTCTTCCGCCGCGGCTTTTTGCCCCTCTTCCGCCGCGGCTTTTTCCCCGCCCCGGCTTTTTGCCCCGCCGCCGCCGCCGCCGCCGCCGCCGCGGCGTTTTGCTCCCCGCCGCCGCCGCGGCTTTTTGCTCGCCGCCGCCGCCGCCGCCGCCGCGGCTTTTTGCCCCCCGCCGCCCCGGCTTTCTACCCGCCCCGGCTTTCTGCCCGCCTCAGCTTTCTGCCCCCCGCCCCCACGGCTTTCTGCCCGCCGCGGCTTTTTGCCCCCTGCCGCCGCGGCTTTTTGCCTCCGCGGCTTTTTGCCCCCGCGGCTTTTTGCCCCCGCGGCTTTTTGCCTCCGCGGCTTTTTGCCCCCGCGGCTTTTTGCCCGACCCGGCTTTTTGACCCCCCGCCGCCGCTGCTTTTTGCATCCCCGCCGCCGTGGCTTTTTGCCCGCCGCGGCTCTTTCCCCCCACCGCCGCGGCTTTTTGCCAGCCGAGGCTTTTTATCCTACGCCGCCGCGGCTTTTTGCCCGACCCGGCTTTTTGCTCCCCCGCCGCCGCGACTTTTTCACCCCCGCCGCCATGGCTTTTTGCCGCCCCGGTGCCGCGGTTATTTGCCCGTCGCGGCTTTTTGCACCCCCGTCGCCGCGGCTTTTTGCCCCTCTTCCGCCGCGGCTTTTTCCCCGCCCCGGCTTTTTGCCCCGCCGCCGCCGCCGCCGCGGCTTTTTGCGCGCCTCGGCTTTTTACCCCCTGCCGCCGCGGCTTTCTGCCCGCCCCGGCTTTCTGCCCGCCTCGGCTTTCTGCCCCCCGCCCCCACGGCTTTCTGCTCGCCGCGGCTTTTTGCCCCCTGCCGCCGCGGCTTTTTGCCTCCGCGGCTTTTTGCCCGACCCGGCTTTTTCACCCCCGCCGCCGCGGCTTTTTGCCCCCCCGGCGCCGCGGTTATTTGCCCCCCCGGTGCCGCGGTTATTTGCCCGTCGCGGCTTTTTGCACCCCCGTCGCCGCGGCTTTTTGCCCCCCTGCCGCCGCGGCTTTTTGCCCCCCTGCCGCCGCGGCTTTTTGCCTCCGCGGCTTTTTGCATCCCCGCCGCCGCCGTGGTTTTTTGTCGCCGCGGCTTTTTCCCCCCGCCGCCGTGGTTTTTTGTCGCCGCGGCTTTTAGCCCCCCCCCGCCGCCGTGGCTTTTTGCCCGCCGCGGCTTTTCGCCCCCCACGGCTTTTGCCTCCCCGCTGCCACGGCTTTTTGCCCCCCGCTGCCGCGACTTTTTGCCCCCCCGCCCCCGCGGATTCTTCCCCCCTGAGGACGCGGCTTTTTTTCGCCCGCCGCCGACGCGGCTTTTTACCCCCCGCCGCCGCGGCTTGTTGCCGGCTGCGGCTTTTTGCCCCCCCCACCCCCCCCCGCCACTGTGGCTTTTTGCGTCTTTGTGCCCCCGCCGCCGTGGCTTTTTGCCCGCGCCACCGCTGCTTTTTGCACCTTTTTGCCCCCGCCGCCGCGGCTATTTGCCCCCCGCCGCCGCGATGTTATATGGTTTTTTGCTCCCACTGCTTTTTGCCTCCGCCGCCGCGGCTTTTTGCCCCCCCACCACCGCAGCTTTTTGCGCGTCTCGGCTTTTTGCCCCACCAGCGCCGCGGCTTTTTGCCCCACCAGCGCCGCGGCTTTTTGCCCCATGGCCATCGTCAGAAGTGTGAGTGGAACAGAGTGAAGGGAAAGCTGTTTTCTTCGAAAGCTCAAAAATCTTGAACTTTCAAATAGGGATAAGTGTTATTTTTGCTCCAAGCACACATTTGAGAAATCTTCCATTTAGCGGATCTGATGATAAACCCACATTTTTGTTTGTTTTAATCTGAAAATGTATTTGTATGGTTCTTGGAAATATTTTTTTCATATAAAATTATAGTTTATCAGCTTATTTCAAGTTTTATTTACCATTTGATAATTACTCCTAAAATGTCATTGATTAAAGAAAGAATCATCTATTGCTCCAACTGCTCTTTACTAAAGGTAATTTGTCTTTTTAACCTCATCAGGCTCCTTTTAAGCTCTCAAACTGACCTTATTTTTTTTTACAGATTCAATGCATTAAGTCAATTTATTATTTATGATGAATTTATTTATGTATTTATTTTCGCTATCACAAGTAGAAAAAGCCTATAAGTTGCTATGCCAAAAACCTGCCTCTAGATGGCAAACAAACCCCGCAATACACAAAAGAGAGCCAAATTCTTAGAAACCCTGGGAAAGGAAGAGGGCTACTGTCCCATTAACAACTTGGAGCCCTTAAGGCAAGAATGAGGTGGAACATCTGGAACATCTGGGAGGAGACACAAGGGTGCGGAGTAGTGGGGAACCTGCTCTGTGCTCTGAGACTGAAAGCCCAGCCTTGCCTCTCACCGCTGCCTTGACTGTGTCCCCATCTGCTGTGAAGTGAATGGTGTCTTCTAAATTCATGCTGAGCCCTAATTGCTGAAAAGTGTTAAGACATGCAATGGGGGGATTATGTGCATCTTCCCGACACCAACATGATGCTCAGGAAGGAGACTTCTTGTTTTCTCTTAGGATTCTTTTACTAACCAAGATTTTGCCTCTACTGCATATTTCCCTTTGCTGATTGTCCCTCCCTTTTGACAGAAGATGGCCCAGGGCATTCACTACTAAGTCTCAACCTCTTACCCAAAGCCCTCAGTCTAGTGTTGCTCTTTCCTTCATGCTATTTTTGTTTCTTTCTTTTCTTGTAATCATCTTGGCAATAAAATAATCACTTTTTTCTTTCTACCTATTAAAGATGTTACCTTAGTTAATTACAGTGGTTTCCTTCAGAATGATAAGTGGTCTTTCAAAATGATGTAAAGAGATCTAAATCCGTGTGCTCCAGAAGTTGAATGAAGCTCTGTCTAGCACAGGTGCCAGTGACTCTCCCAGAGTGCTCCATGCAGCTGGACCCACAGAGTCCCTCTGTGCTGTCATATCACCCACTGCCTTCTGTGAATGAGATATTCTGATTAGAATCCTGGTGGATGCTATTTGAGCCAGTGCCCCCACAACTCCTATGAAAGCCGAGGACCACAGGCCCCTGAAGACAATCACAGGTCTCTAGACTCACAGCTCATGACCGTCCTCTGCAGACACAGCTTCTCCTCGGATGGCTGAGGGTTGTCATTGGCTGTGTCCTTCCTTGTGCATGACAACAGGAGACATAGAAGGTCCATAAGCAGCCCTGCAAGCCAGGTTCTGAGCAAGCCCTCCTGTGTGGGGCCCTCTTACCTGGACATAGGTGTGTAAACCAAAAATGAAACTCTAAGCTCCCTAACCAACTGAATGAACTCCTCCTCTCAGCCAAGCACACACCAAAATCAACCTGAAATACAAGGCAGCCCATGATCGGAACGGATGATTGGATATGCCTTAACTTACCCTCTTCCCTTTAAAATTCAGGCACAACTGACCAGCTTTTAATATGAAGACAGAGACCTTGAGACTGACAAAGAAAACTCTTTATAGCAATAAGATACCAATGTGACAGATACCACGTCCTAAGAGAAATCAAAGTATTTTCCCCAAGATATTGTTATTTAATGTATTTAAAAATGCCTCTGCAAAGCTGGTTCTTGTGGGAAAAATCTACATTCTGTAGAGACTCCTTTTTAAGTCTCTTTCCTGACCCAGAGAGATTTAACTAAGAGTTTGGCACCTTTTAAGTCTGCTAAGAAACAATTACAATCTATTCTCTCTGAAGCCTGCTACCTGGAGGCTTCATCTGCATGATGCAACCTTGGCTCCAAAACCCTTTTTCTAAACCCAGAAACTCCCTTGTGTTGATTACAGGTCATTAGATAAACTCTTTCAACCACCTATGAAATCTTTGAATCCACCTAGGACCTGGAAGTCCCCAACATCCCCCCTCCTTCGGGCTGTCCTGCCTTTTCATATCAAAGCAATGTGCAGCTTACACGTATTGATTGATATCTTATGTCTGCCTAAAACGTGTAAAACCAACCTGTAGCCCGACGACCTTTGACACACGTTCTCAAGACCTCCTGAGGCTGTTTCACTGATATTTCTTTAACTTTGACCAAATAAATTTCTAAACTGATTGAGACTTTTCTCAGATACTTATTTGTTTATAGGTATCACTGGATACACTTAAGGAATTGAAGAGATTTATGACATTGAGAAAAGGAGGAAGCCAGGGTGTGTGGACATTGAGAGAGAGAGAGAGAGAGAGAGAGAGAGAGATTGTGATGTATGTACAGGACTAACACTGAGACCTGGTTATGTAATGGTGTAGTACTGAGTATCATCCCCAAATAGTGAGGTTTCATTCCATGAAGACTATGCATGTATCTCATTTGGGAAAACAGCTTTTGCAGGTGTAAATTAAGGAGCTTGAAACAGGGAGATGGTCTTAGATTAATCAACTGGGACTTAAATGCAAACTCAAGTGTCCTAAAAAAAACAAGAGGTAGAGAGAGATTTAGCATAGACTGAAGTGGAGAAGGCAGTGTGAACACAGAGACAGAGATTGTAGTGATGTGTCCACATCCCGGGAGAGAGAAGCCACCAGAAGCTGGAAAAGCTAAATCAGACTGATCCCTAGAGCTTCAGAAGGAGCCAGAACTGATGACTCCAAGATCTTAGCCCAGTGAAACTGATCTGGACTTCTGAACTATGAGAGATTCCATTCCTGTTGTGTGAAGCTACCACATTTTTGAGAACTTGTTACAGTAGCCCGAGGACACTAACACAAATGGGGCTCCGGGAAAATCCAGACTAAAGGTGTTGTGTTGGTTTGCAATCTCCTTGCTTAACTTTCTGATACTAGATGTAAATAGATTGGTGAAAAATTTTGTGATTGAAAAAATGTACATGAAACCTACAGTGTACAGAGAAGCATCTGTTAGTTATAAGATAAATATTGATAATTTTAGTTGAAAATGACATATGACTGTTAATATCTCACATAACATTCTGAGTTACTCAAGAATGCATAAAAGAGGCACTAGATACTCTTCTCATGTATGTGTGTGTGTCTGTCTATACATGTATGTACACTTCATGGTGCATCAGCTGGCGGAACCCTCAGGACACCCCTTCACATCCTCAGTGCCCCATTTCACACATGAGGAAACTGTTCATGACAGCACATGGCTGATTTGCATAAAAGTCACTTGGTCAGCAGTTGTCGAAGCTGAACTTGGAATCTAGGTCTGTCTGACCTTAACTTATGTTCCTTCCACAGAGCCACGTTCATTCCATAGAGGGACCCACCACCTATAAAACCGGAAAAGAGACAAAGCCAGAAGTGCAGGGTGGATTTCTTAACACAAGCTCACTGCAACCTCTAGTCCTCATCACGCTGACACTAAGCTTAAACCCAGACCCTTCTACAGTTTTGTCTACAAAGCACAATTTGCCCAAAGCCTTTACAAACACCAACAGCCTTTCTTTCAGATATGGCAGCAGGGTCACATCTTACACGGCCCTGACCACATTTTGTCTCCTCTGCCATCCCCATCTCTCTGACTCAGTCCTCGCTTGCAGCCATAAAAAAGGATGAGTTCATGTCCTTTGTAGGGACATGGATGAAGCTGGAAACCATCATTCTCAGCAAACTATCGCAAGGACAAAAAACCAATCACTGCATGTTCTCACTCATAGGTGGGAATTGAACAATGAGAACACGTGGACACAGGAAGGGGAATATCACACACCGGGGACTGTTGTGGGGTGTGGGGAGGGGGGAGGGATAGCATTAGGAGATATACCTAATGTAAATGACGAGTTAATGGGTGCAGCGCACCAACATGGCACATGTATACATATGTAACAAACCTGCATGTTGTGCACATGTAACCTAGAACTTAACAATAATAATAATAATAAAAAGAATGGGTCTTGTACATCCAATTTGCCCTATGAATGTTAAAACAGCAAACCCGCATCCCCTTCCTCTTCTCATGTGCTGTGAGAGATGACCTCCAGGCTCTCAGATACCAAGATTGTACAAGACCTAACCCAGAGAATTACTCAAGACACTTTCTACGTAAGAAGAATTGTGGTACTAGCTCTCCTCATAGAAAAATGTTTTCTGTCTCTTGTTGAAATTGACAGCAAACACAAAAACACAGAACTATTTGGGAGAACAGAGGACAGTGATACACTAGGGAAGTAAAACACACCCCTTCCCCTTGCATTGGTTTCCTGTTGCTGCTGTAACAAATTACCACAACTTTACTACTCCACATAACACAAGTGTATTATCTTACATTTCTGGAGGTCAGAAGTCTCAATGAAGTAAAATCAAGGAGTAATAGGGCTCTATTCATTCTAGGCTTCAAGAGAGAGAATCCAATGTCGAGCATTCCATCTTTCTGATGTTCCCACATTCCTAGCAGCATGGCCCCTTCCTCCATCACTCCAGTTTCCCTGTCCATTGTCCCAGGTCCTCTCTGGCTGTTACCTTCCTCCCTCCCTATTGTAAGGACCCTTGTGATTATGATGGTCTCACCCAGATAATTCAGGATACTCTCCTGACCTCAAAATTCTCAACCACGTCTGCCAAGTTATTTTTGACTTGTTCATAAGTAATGATCATAGATTCCAGATATTAGGACAATGATGTCTTTAGTGGGTGTATTATTCATTCCACAAACAACTCTCATCATCCACACAATGGCCTTCCTCTAAGGTAGAATAAAAATATCACAAGGCAGATTTACGAGGCGATCGACCTAGAAAAAACCTGAGACTCTAGGACTGTCTGATGTGTGGATGTCAAATCCTGGGAGATTCTGAGCCTCTGCTCTATGTGGACTCTATGTTGTGTAGCCATTTGTGGAAGGCTTCTGTGATTTTGTGACCTAGAGAAAATGAATCTCTGCTAAAATCAAATCTAAGAAAGATTGGCAAAGGGAATTTAAAGATTTCCTAAATTTTTGGAATTTCCCTAGGCATTAAAACATGAGAAGTGGCAATAATTCAAACCAACGATGCCCTCCAAGAATGAGGATTTTTCCAATGCATTAGGTTGGGTCCCCTCAGTGAGAAGGATGCCAAAGATTCGCATGCAGGCAGTATATTTACAAAGTGCGGGAAACAAGCAAGTGAGCAAGGGAGGGGAGGAGGGAAAGGGAAAGTGAAAAGTGCCTCAGAAGGAGCCACCTCTGAGGATGACGAGAGCTCAAGCCCACATAGAAACACAGGAAAAATGCCTCTGTTATTCCACCTGAGAGGTGAGGGAGCTGGGGGATGTGTACACCTCCCTTGTCATCACTGATTGACAACCGTCCTAGGGGATGCTAATTCCAGGCCATGAGGTCTGCCTCATTTGCAGCCTGAGCTGCTTCCCCAGGTTCAGATAGAGCAGTGAAGGGGAGAAAGGGCCATAGAGAGTCAGCTGAAGTATAATGTCTAGAATCCCCAAGGCATAGTAACAATGACTGCTAAAATTATGCACAAAGAAAAAGTGCATTTGAATCCAGAGATGTATCTCTCTGAATCTGGATATATGGATCCTGGCAGCCTGTTCGGTAGCCATTTCCCAGAAATCCAGTCCTCTGGAAAAGCAGGAGGAGGTTTGTGCATAGGCTGCACTACCTTGGTCTGGCCATGGGTAGTCCTGCATGAGAACTACTCCCTGGAGTATTTCTCAGTCCACTGACACTGATGTAATTGGCTCCACTTCCCCTGCTGTTGAGCCAGGCCAACATGCCCTGGGCAAAGGCATCTGTGTGAAGTATTGAGGTGCAAATCAGTGCTTAAGATATGTTTGGATGCAAAACACTTTTTCATCTACATGGGCAGTGTCTTGGCAGAAGATGGAGATTCTCTCTAAATGCATGTGAGACAGGGTGGCTGGCATCTGGGTCAGGATGATGCCCTGGTGCATGGCAAGAACATGCCTTGTGCAGCAGCTGCCCTCACTAAGGAGAGAGGCTCACTGACCTGGCTTTTCCCCCTCACCTGCTCTCCAGAAAGCCAGACTCTAGGGCAGATGCTCCTGAGACCCCAGGAACAGGCTGGTGGGGAGCGCAGCTCAGAGCATTACTCAGGGGATGTGGCCTTTGTCATCCTACTTTGAAACAATTGACTATTTGAGCCTAGATTGATACAGGGCTTCAAGTTGATTTTAATCCAGGCTCCTATAGTCAGCGAGTGAAACAGAGATTTTAGTTGAAATAATGAGACCTGGTGTTACTAGTCAGCTCTCCATGCTGGAGAACCATAAGAAATTATACCAAAGGCAGGAAAGGGGATAGAATATGGGGATCATCACGCCAAGAATAAGGTGCAGCCCATTTAGCCCCTGGGTCTTAAAGAGACCCATAGCTCTGGATAATGGCAGATCTATGTGTGACACAGTTATCATCTTGGTGCATCTTCAGAGAATTGTTTTTCCTTTTACTCCTAGGGACAATGTCTTAAGTTTGTTAGTAAATTCTATTGAATTTATTAAAGATGCTTCTGATAAATTCTTTTTATATTCATTTCAAACAAGAAGCAATTTCACACTGACATTGTTATTATAGCACTAAATACTTTTACACTCATCAAATTCCTTTGAGACTAACTGAAATTTCTGACAGCCCCACATTCTACAACTTTATTGTAAATTTTCTGCCAAAAATGATGCTTTCCTATACACTCCTAATACAAGTATAAATATATTATTTAATCTAGTCTTAGGTTGATTTAAAATTTTGAAAATTCACTCCAAAAATATGTTCTGTAACCATATGGCCACCAATGAGAAATGCATTCTTTCAAGGTAAATCTGTGCTGCCCTGGTTTGACCTGGGACTCTGGGGATACTGCGCCCCTGTGCTGAGTTACTGAGATGAGCCAGCCCTGCAGCTGTGCTCAGCCTGCCCCATCCCCTGCTGATTTGCCTGTTCCTAGAGCACAGCCCCCTGCCCTGAAGACTTTTTATAGGCTGGTCACACCCGGAGCAGGAATCAGCCCCAGTCAGGACACAGCATAGACATGAGGGCCCCCACTCAGCTCCTGGGGCTCCTGGTGCTCTGGCTGCCAGGTAAGGAAGGAGAACACTAGGATTATACTCGGTCAGTGTGCTCAGTACTGTCTGGAACTTCAGGGAAGTCCTCTGATAACATGATTAATTGCAACAATATTTGTTTTTATGCTTCCAACTTCAGGTGCCAGATGTGACATCCAGATGACCCAGTCTCCATCCTCCCTGTCTGCATCTGTAGGAGACAGAGTCACCATCACTTGCCGGGCGAGTCAGGGCATTAGCAATAATTTAAATTGGTATCAGCAGAAACCAGGGAAAACTCCTAAGCTCCTGATCTATGCTGCATCCAGTCTGCAAAGTGGGATTCCCTCTCGGTTCAGTGACAGTGGATCTGGGGCAGATTACACTCTCACCATCCGCAGCCTGCAGCCTGAAGATTTTGCAACTTATTACTGTCAACAGAGTGACAGTACCCCTCCCACAGCGTTACAAGTCATAACATAATCCCCAAGGAAGCAGATGTGTGAGGCTGGGCTGCCCCAATGCTCCTTCTGGTGCCTCTATCTGCTGAGGGAAGTTCTCAAACTCAGTCAGGTTTGGAAAGTCATTGGGAGATTTTCCTAGAGGAGGCCAGGGAGGTTCCTCTGAACCCTAAGCCTCTTTCACCCTCATCCCCAGCAGAAAAGATGTGACAATGCCTGTCCTGACTGAATAAAGAAGAGAGATAAGTCCAACTGAGGAGTCTGTGTTATGGGATAATTGGAATTTGTACAGCAAAAGAGAAGCTATTCTCAGTATTTCAAGGAGAAATTATTCAAGTTGAATAAATTAGAGCCTAAACCACAGTCTTTCCGAAGCCTATGGAATGTTATTCATGAAGCAGGTACTAGACACAGGGGATTCTCAGGTGCTACTTCAGAAGCCAGGGTGCACCTGCCCCTGGTGGTATGTGCTGAACACCATGTGATGATCCTCAGGCCTGTCTGGGAAGCCCAGGTCTTCCCAGACAGGAATGCTTTGATAAATCCACTGCTAGGTAGGTAATTCTTCTGTAACATTAATAATTCGGTTTTACTTTTGGATCCTAAAGTGGGACTACTTAGAAAATCTGCAAAAATCATGCGAAGAAAATCATGTAAAATCATGATCTTTACTTAGGCACTTACAGGTGAAATGACGAGGTATCTGGAATTGCATTAAAATAGATCAAGGTGAAAAAGACTGACAAAAACATTAACTGTTAAAACTTGGGGCTATATATCAAAGACATTAGTTTCTCTATGAGTATATTTCAAACTTTCCTCAATAAATTTTTTAAAAATTCAATTTAAAATTCAAGCCACAAATAAATGCTTTTTAAAAATTTCTTAGATTATACAAATAGTGCCATAACATCAAGAATAATCCCAAATCATTCCATATACTTCAAAAGATACAAAACCAGGCTGGGTGCGGTGGCTCACGTCTGTAATCCCAACACTTTGGGAGGCCGAGGTGGGCGGATCACCTGAGGTTGTGAGTTTGAAACCAGTCTGACCAACATGGAGAAACCCCGTCTCTACCAAAAATACAAAATTAGCTGGGTGTGGTGGTGCATGCCTGTAATCCCAGCTACTGGGGAGGCTGAGGCAGGAGAATCACTTGAACTCGGGAAGTGGAGGTTGCAGTGAGCCGAGATTGTGCCATTGCACTCCAGCCTGGGCGACAAGAGCAAAACTCCATCTCAAAAAAAAAAAAAAAAGACACAAAAGCAGGAACTCTTTTCCAGGAGCAATCCCATTTAGTTAAGAAAAAGAAGAAAAAAATATTCCCTAGATTCAGCCAGTTCCTTATCTCTACTGTCCTTCAGAGTCAAATTTCTTTAAAAAATAAGCAACTCTGCCAGGCGTGGTGTCTCACGTCTGTAATCCCAACACTTTGGGAGGCCAAGGAGGGCGGATCACAAGGTCAAGGGATCGAGACCATCCTGGCCAAGATGGTGACACCCCATCTCTACTAAAAATACAAAAAATAGCCCAGCGTGGTGGCACACGCCTGTAGTCCCAGCTACTCAGGAGACTGAGGCAGGAGAATGGCTTGAACCCAGGAGGCGGAGGTTGCAGTGAGCCGAGATCACGCCACTGCACTCCAGCCTGGTGACAGAGCAAGACTCTGTCTCAAAGAAAATAATAATAATAATAATAAGCAACTCCATCTCTCCCCACTTCATCCTTCTCAGCCCTCGATCCTCTGTGATCTGGCGCATGTTCCTGCTGCCTTACTGAGGCTGCTTTAGTAAGGGTACTAGTAAGCTTCCAACTGGCAACTCCAAATGACTATTTTCAGTATACAACTTACTTGGAGTCTACTTAGCATCTTCAGTTATTGAACTTCCTCCTTTAACTCACTTCCAAAATACTACTCTCTCCTCCTTCCTTCTCTATTTCTTTGTTGGCTCTTCTTCCTCTGCCTTCTCTTCAAATATTTCTACTTCCTCTCACTCCTTCTAGTTCTCTTTTCTGTTTCCACAATACTTGTTCTATCAACTACTCCTTTCACTTCATTCACAATAATACTGATGATTCCCAAGCATATATCTCTCATCATGCGTCCCCCTCACATATCTGCTCTTTAATTCTTCTTTTTAATTCATTTGATACCTTCTAAAAGTCTCTCACAATTCAGATAGTCCTTCAAGCCAGGAACATGGGAGTCATTCTCAAATTATCTTTCTCACTCACCCCCTGTCCCATCTCCAAATTTTTATATAAGCTTCAGATTTCATGGACTGTATTTAAAAATTTTTTATAGTTGATGTGTCTCTATTTCAGCAGCTACTGTTTTATCATTTCTCATCTTAGACTATTACAATCTTTCTGGCTGTGTTTACAGATCTTTCCAGTCCACCCCCACACTGAGGTCAGGAGATCTTTCTAAAATGTATTTCATACTCTATCTTGCTTAAAACTTTCAAGTGCTTAACAACTAAATGCAGTATATATTTCCAGATTGGATCCTGGACCAGGGGAAAAAAAAATGCTATAAAGATCCTTTTTAGAACATCTGAATATAGACTATATCAGATAATAGAATATCAATGTTACATTTCTTTAACTTGGTAATGTACTATAATCACATAAGGAAATGTCCTTGCTCTTAGGAAATATACACAGAGGTAGTTAGGGACAAACTAGCAAATGATTTAGGGGAAAAAATGATACCTACAGAGAGAGCAAACACAATAAAGCAAATATAGCAAAACATTTTCAATTGGTGAATCTGGGTAAAGGGTATACAAGATTCTTGCAACTCCTCTATTAGTTTGAGATCATTTTACATAAAATATTTTTGGCTGGGCATGGTGACTCACGCCTATAATCACGGCACTTTGAGAGGCTATAGCAGGAGGTCTGCTTGAGCCCAGGAGTTCCAGACCAGCCCTGACAACAGGGTGAGACTCTGTCTCTCTAAAAAATTAAAAATTTGTCTGTGTGGACTGGAGTATATCTGTATTCCCAGCCACTTGGGAGGCTGAAGTGGGAGGATCACTTGTGCCCAGAAGGTTGGCACCGCAATGAACAATGACTGTGCCACTGCACTACAGCCTGGGCAACAGAGCAAGACCCTGTCTCAAAAAAAAAAAATTAAACCTCCCACATTCCCTGTTACATGTAAGATAAAAGTTTGAACTCCTTGGTTAGGCTCTCTGTGATCTGACTCTTGCCCCCTCTACCATTATCGGTCATCAACTGAGAGGAGGACCACAACCAACATCCTACTCTCCACACACAAAGATTACAAATTTCTGAACACACCAAACTGCTTTGTTCCATGTCAAACATGTTCTCTCTACTTCCTGCACCTTGTCTGTCTGACAAGCACCTTCTTATTTGATGCTATTCAAGCCTCACCTCCTCTTACTCTGCACTCCTTTCTACTTTCCTCTTCCAGATGAAAATAACCACTCCAGGCCACGCATAGTGGCTCACGCCACCCAGCACTTTGGGAGGCTGAGGCAGATGGATCACAAAGTCAAGAGATTGAGACCATCCCAGCCAACATGGTGAAACTCCGTCTCTACTAAAAATACAAAAATTAGCTGGACATGGTGGCGAGTGCCTGTAATCCCAGCTACTCGGGAGGCTGAGGCAGGAGAACTGCTTGAACCCAGGAGGCAGAGGTTGCAGTGAGCCGAGATCGTGCCACTGCACTCCAGCCTGGCAACAGAGCAAAACTCCGTTTCAAAAAAAAAAATCTCAAATACTCGGCCAGGTACATTGGCTCACGCCTGTAATCCCAGCACTTTGGGAGGCTGAGGTGGTGGATTACCTGAGGTCAGTAGTTCAAGACCAGTCTGACCAATATGGTGAAACCCTGTCTCTACTAAAAATGCAAAAAAAATTAGCCGGGCATGGTGGCATGCGCCTGTAGTCCCAGCAACTCCGGAGGCTGAGACAGGAGAATTGCTTGAGCCCGGGAGGCAGAGGTTGCAGTGAGCCGAGATCACACCACTGCACTCCAGCCTAGGCAACAAAGCAGGACTCCACCTCAAAAAAAAAAAAAAAAAAAAAAAAAAAAAAAAAAAAAAAAAAAAATCTCACTACTCCCAAATTATGTATTTTTAAAAATGTTTTTTATTTTTTTTATTTTTATTTTTTTTTTGAGATGGAGTCTTGCTCTGTCGCCCAGGCTGGAGTGCAGTGGTGCAATCTCGGCTCACTGCAAGCTCCGCCTCCTGGGTTCACACCATTCTCCTGCTTAGCCTCCCAAGTAGCTGGGACTACAGGTGCCCGCCACCATGCCTGGCTAATTTTTTTATATTTTTAGTAGAGACGGGGTTTCACCATGTTAGCCAGTATGGTCTTGATCTGACCTTGTGATCTGCCCGCCTCAGCCTCCCAAAGTGCTGGGTTTACAGGCGTGAGCCACAACGCCCAGCCTAAAAATGTTTTTTTCTTTCCATGTCCCTGATACAGCTTTTCATCAACTTTCCCAAAGTATGAAAAGAAACACGTATTTTTCACTAAGAGGTCAACCTATTTTCAATCTCTTACACCATTCTACATGTTGATGAACATAAGTTCTAATAAAATTTTATCTGTTTCTCATTACTCATAAATATTATCTATTTATCTAATTGCATCTAAATGCCATTTTATTGCAAATATCCCATTCACCAACTTCAAAAAGAGAAAAACAAAACAAGCATCATTAAAAACAAAGCAAGAAAGTAGCAAAATAGATAATTCCAATATCACCTATAAGTACTCAGTTATCTTAAACAAATGAACTCAGATTGTCGACAAAAAAATCCAAGGCCCATTCATTAAAGCAAATAAATAACTCATATAACATCTAAAAATCTCACTCATGACCTATTTTCCTTTACTTGTGACCCAAATTTAGTTACTGGAGTATCTTAGACACTAGCAAAATAGAAAGGTAAGACAAGCTTCTGGACAGATTGTAACGGCAGACAGCAAAGAAACAAAATACACAAAAAAAGTCTATAGGCTGGGCGCGGTGGCTCACGCCTGTAATCCCAGCACTTTGGGAGGCCAAGATTGGGGGATCACGAGGTCAGGAGATCGAGACCATCCTGGCTAACATGGTGAAACCCCATCTCTACTAAAAATACAAAAAATTAGCCAGGTGTGGTGGCGGGCACCTGTAGTCCCAGCTACTTGGGAGGCTGAGGCAGGAGAATGGCATGAACCTGGGAGGTGGAGCTTGCAGTGAACCGAGATTGCACCACCTCACTCCAGCATGGGCAACAGAGCGAGACTCCGTTTCAAAAAAAAAAGTCTATATAGAATCTTAACATAGTCTGCTAGAACAATTTTTTTTCTAAAGAAAATACATCAAATTGAATAATATTAAATGACAGGAAAAGGAGTAAACATTATAGAAACCTCCTTTAAAAATTAAAAACTATTTCAACTTTAAAATGAGTGGGTATTAACAGCTCAGGGAGCACATCTGCTTCTTCAAAACAGGCAGAGTAGGAAAAAAATGTTGCTAATTTTTAAGAAATCATATAAATCAGTTTTTTGATCATTATTAAACTATTCATAATAAAATTAACATATTACAACCATTCATACAAATGTTTACTACAGACACACCTGAACTCAAGCAGTATTAACATTTCAATTTATTTTAGGAATGATGAAAAAATTGTTCCAGCATTTAAGAGACCACCATTTTGGCCAGGCCCAGTGGCTCACACCTGTAATCCCAGCACTTTGGGAGGCCGAGGTGGGCAGATCACCTGAGGTCAGGAGTTCGAGACCAGCCTGACCAACATGGAGAAAGCCCGTCTCTACTAAAAATACAAAATTAGTTGGGTGTGGTGGTGCATGCCTATAATCCCAGCTACTGGGGAGGCTGAGGCGGGAGAATTGCTTGAACCAGGTGGTGGAGGTTGAGGTGAGCCAAGATCGCACCATTGCACCCCAGCCTGGGCAACGAGAATGAAACTCCATCTCAAAACAAACAAAAAAGAACACCACTTTTCATTTTACTGAATTACCTTTCCTGTTCAAGAGCATACTCCAACATTTTGATCCTCCTCACAAGATCCTTCTTCAAATTTTCTTGGCCCTTCCTTTCTCCCTGTAGGAAGGTAATCTGGGCCTGAGTAGGGGAAAGACAGACAAAATTCAGTTTAGACCAAAAAAAAACCAGTTTTTTTTAACTCAGTAAAGAACCTTTGGAAGTTAGAACAATTAGATGCAAAAATATTTCCTTTACACATTTCTCACAAAGCATGTAGAAATATAAAAATGCACTGACTGCAAGGGGGAAAAAGGATTTAAGTTAAAAAGGGCGGGGGGACATCTAAATGCATTGTACTTCAGGGTAGGGATTTTACAACACATAGTCCACATCATTTAAGAGTCTACAATATAAAACAACTAATACTGCCGGGTGCGGTGGCTCACACCTGTAATCCCAGCACTTTGGGAGGCTGAGGCGGGTGGATCACTTGAGGTCAAGAGTTCGAGACCAGCCTGACCAACATGGTGAAACCCTGTCTCTACTAAAAATACAAAAATTAGCCGGGCATGATGGCACCTATAATCCCAGCTACTCGGGAGGCTGAGGCAGAAGAATTGCTTGAACCCAGGAGGCAGGGGTTGCAGTGAGCCGAGATTGCGCCACTGCACTCCATCCTGGGTAACAGAGTGAGACTCCATATTAAAAAATAAAACAACTAATATTAATACAAACAAATGCAAGGTGTACAGTACAGTTTGCTAAAGCGTTTGTCTTTTTGCCATCAACAAGATCTTTTTATAAAGCAGGAAGGGTTAAAGTAAAATCAGTTCTTATAATCCCCTTGCACAAGCTTCATCATATATTTAAATTTTATGTCAGATTCCTTAAGTGACTTTATTTTGGACCTCCCCTACAAAAAATAAGTTGCTCCCTTTTCTCAATCCCCACCATTTTTCTCACCCACCTTGACATGTAATCCATAGAAAAAAGAAAGTGAAAGTTGGGAAAAGGAAAATTAGAGACAATGGCCTTCTGCCCATTCCTGCCCCCCACCCCAAGGAATTACTAAAACCCTACATTTGAACATGAAACAAACTGTAAACAACTTTTAAAGTCAGTAAAACAGAGGGGCTAGGAAAGAGTAGCTCTCCAGAATATTAAGAGAACATTTACAACTGAAATACTATCTTTCACATAAGAAATTGAAACTATGTCACAAACACTAACTTGTTAAGGTGACTCATAATACCTCTTAAAAGTCACAAGGGCCTCAAAACTAGCTATAAATTTCACTATTCTCACATATACCACCACCCCCGTCTTTTATACTGACCCACTAAGACAGGTAACAATGTTATTTATGTATCTACAGTGCTTTCCATTAAGTGAGCAAGAACTTTACATTTAAGGATGACCTTGCCACATCCCTAAGGAATTGTGAGGATTGTGCAACTCAGGTTTAGCAAGTGAGCCATTAAACTTAATTCTCATTCAAACTTAGTTTGAATGACCTTTGTTTCTATTCTGTACCACAAGAAACATAAAATCCAACTTATCTAGTCTCTTATAACTTTCAAAATATAGGTAGTGTTGAGCTTTTCTTTTCATTTCAATATGCTCTTAAATTTTACATTACAATTAAAGGAAGGATTACGTTTATCTTACTGAAATAAAAGTGGTCTGAAAACAATTCAATTGTTTTCAGAGGAAAAGGCATCAAATATCCACAAGACTCTTTTGAAATTATATATTCTGCAGTGGGATAATTATGTTACCTAACCAGAATAGTAATGACACATGCATTTAAAGCTGATAAAAATGAAAGTCTTGTCAAAAGGAAGTGACAGCCCAACTTGTCAGGCCAAACATGCTTTGGCATAGAACTTTATATGCTCTTTAAAATGATTTTAATAAAAATAATAAGCTAATCAATGCAATCAAACTTTGAAGGTAATAACAATATCAATTATCAATTTTGTCCTCTCGATACTCCTTGGCTAGTTTTGCATTTCTGCTAACATCATTGGTCCTGGATGATTCTGAAACTTCAGCCTACAATACCATAACGTCTTTACTGTATATGTTCAACTTCAAGCATAAGAGAAGTTACAATTAAAAGTATAATCAGAGGCTGGGCACAGTGGCTCAGTCCTGTAATTACAGCACTTTGGGAGGCCGAGGTGGGAGGATAACTTGAGCTCAGGAGTTTGAGCCTAGCCTGGGCAACATAGCGAGACCACTTCCCTACAAATAATTTAAAAAATCAGCCAGGCATGGTGGCATGTGTCTGTGGTCCCAGCTACTTGGGAGGCTGAGACAGGAGAATCACCTCAGCCCAGGAGGCCAAGGCTGCAGTGAGCAGTGATCACACCACCACACTCTAACATGGGTGACAGAGTGAGACCTTGTCTCAAAAAAAAAAAAAAAAAAAAAGGGGATGGGGGGTGGGTGGTGGGGTGGTAATCAGGGCCAGGCATGGTAGCTAATGCCTGTAGTCCCAGAACTTTGGGAGACTGAGGTGAGAGGATTGCTTGAGGCTGGAGTTTGAGACCATCCTGGCCAACATGCCAAGACGGCTCATAAAAATATTAAAAATATAAAAAATAAAGTACAATCAGATTTCTCCTTTTCCATCAGATGGATAAAGTTCAGTAACTTAATAATATGGTAGAAAACAGACATTTATATGTTAGCTGTGGTGATATAAACCAGTTTCACTTTATAGAGGACAACTGGTAATATCTGTCAAGTTTATAAATGCATATACCCTTTAACTCAGCAATTTTAGAATGTTATCCTTCAAATATATATTTGTACATACATGAAATTATATAATACATTACTGATAAAACACAGACAAGAATATGTATACAACCCAAATGACCACCTAAAGGAGACTGGTTAAATAAATGAGTATAATTGAAAGAAAATTAGGACCTGAACTAAGACCTTTGAGAAAAGAGTAAAAGACTATGAGAATAATGTCAATCTTTTACCTTTTTTTCTCTAGAAAACTAAGACATTAGAAACAAAAAGTCTTAAAACACATTCCTACATAAAAAAAAGAATTCCTTCTGTAAAACGACCTCAGTCGAAAACATAATAATTGGTATAAATTCTTACTCTTTTAAAATAAAGATTAAATTCCAGCTAAAAATTCTCCAGATATGGCAGTATATTGCTCTTTGAATTGAACTGAGGAAGGGCGAGGGTGAGAGACATAAAAGATGAAAACAGTGAAAGGAAGAAATAAAGGGAAGGGAAAAAGTAAAAAGAAAAAGAGGAAAATAGGTCGGACACAGGGGCTCACACCTGTAATCCCAGAACTTTGGGAGGCTGAGGCGGGGGGATCACCTGAGGTCAGGAGTTCGAGACCAGCCTGGCCAACACAGTGAAACCCTGTCTCCACTAAACATACAAAAATCAGCCAGGCACTGTATTCGCAGCTACTCGGAAGGCTGAGACAGAAGAATTACTCAAACCCGGGAGACGGAGGTTGCAGTGTGCAGAGATCGCACCACTGCACTCCAGCCTGGGCGACACGGTGAGATTCCATCTTTAAAAAAAAAAAAAAAAGGCAGGGCGTGGTGGCTCACCCCTGTAATCCTAGCACTTTGGGAGGCCGAGGCGGGTGGATCACGAGGTCAGGAGTTCAAGACCAGCCTGGCCAAGATGGTGAAACCCCATCTCTACTAAAAATACAAAAAAAAATTAGCCGGGCGTGGTGGCAGGTGCCTGTAATCCCAGCTACTTGAGAGGCTGAGGCAGAGAACTGCTTGAACCCAGGAGGTGGAGGTTGCAGTGAGCCGAGACCACACCACTGCACTCCAGCCTGGGCAACAGAGTGAGACTCCGTCTCAAAAAGAAAAAAAATAAGTGTTATGAATAAATATGTTTAAAAACTTACAAATCATCAACTGCCATTTATCAGTACAACTAAACTTAATGATAACAGGATATATTTCTGGAGAAGAAAACTTTGGAATTATTTTCAAGGAAAATGAATGTTGAACTTCCATGATACTTTATGTGTATTTTTCACAGTATAGAAAATTAGATATTCACTTCCTAACCATCATAAACAAAAAAGATAAAAATAATAGAAGGAAGATATTTTACTATTTAAGTCTGCATGACAGAAAGAAAATTTATTTTTTTATTTAATTTTTTATTTTATATATTTATTTTTTTTGAGATGGAGTCTCACTCTGTTGCCCAGGCTGGAGTGCAGTGGCACCATCTCAGCTCACTGCAAGCTCCGCTTCCCGGGTTCACGCCATTCTCTTGCCTCAGCCTCCTGAGTAGCTGGGACTACAGGCGCCCGCCACTGCACCCAGCTAATTTTTTGTATTTTTAGTAGAGACGGGGTTTTACCGTGGTCTCAATCTCCTGACCTCGTGATCCGCCTGCCCCGGCCTCCCAAAATGCTGGGAACAGGTGTGAGCCACCGTGCCCAGCTGAAAATTTATTTTTATATTATTTTCAATTCTAATTTGTCAAAAGGATATATGTAAATAGGAATATAAATCTTCTATATTTAAACAGGTTTATCTGCATACGTAATATCTAATAAACAATTAAAATATTTAAAATGTACCACTTAATTTATTAAAGCCCCCCCACCCTTTTTTTTTTCTTTTGAGACGGAGTCTCACTCTGTGGCCCAGGCTGTAGTACAGTGGTGCGATTTCGGCTCACTGCAACTTCAGCCTCCCGGGGTCAAAGTAATTCTCCTACCTCAGCCTCCTGAGTAGCTGGGATTACAGGTGCGCACCACTATGCCCAGCTAATTTTTGTATTTTTAGTAGAGACGGGGTTTTACCACTTGGTCAGGCTGTTCTCAAACTCCTGACCTCGTGATCCACCCACCTCGGTCTCCCTGAGCCCTGGGATTAGAGGTGCGAGCCACCGCGCCCAGCCTTATTGAAGCCATTTTAAACTACTGTGTATTCTGAAATTTAAAAGGGCTAGGATTCAAAATTGAAATCACTGAGAAGTATATTCAAAATGAAAAATACACAAAATTCTTGGGTTGGACACTTTTCAGTAGCTTTTCAGTTACTTGCTATGGAATATAAAAAGCATTCACTTTTACAAAAATCTAAAATAAAATATTATAAAACTTGATTAATTTAAGGTTCTCATCTTTTGATTTGAACACAAACTTCAAAGTAAAAGAGGAAATATATAAGTAAAAGTCAATTATACGGTTACAGTGTACAGTGAAGTTTCAATAATCTGCTTTATGTCTTAATGCCTTCTATAAACTGTATCTATTCCCTCTGAAAAGCTTTGGATTATATTATCCTCTTAAATCTAGGCTGCTAGTTTTCTCTGGCACATAATCACTGCCTCTAGCCCTCTCTCTTAAAGACAGTGTCTTTATCAGGCTAGGCACAGTGGTTCATGCCTGTAATCCCAGCATTTTGGGAGACCGAGACAGGTGGATCACCTGAGGTCAGGAGTTTGAGACCAGCCTGACCAGTATCATGAAACCCCATCTCTACTAAAAATACAAAAATTAGCCAGACATGGTGGCGTGTGCCTGTAGTCCCAGCTACTCAGGAGGCTGAGACAGGAGAATTGCTTGAACCTGGGAGGTGGAAGTTGCAGTAAACCAAGATCATGCCACTGCACTCCAGACTGGGCGACAGAGCAAGACTCCATCTCAATTAAAAAAAAAAAGCATCATTATCATTTGGTGACATCAAACTTTACCATCAGAGTCACCCAGATGACTTGTTAAAACACAATTTTTTAGGTTCTACCCTCAGAGTTGCTCATTCAGTAGGTCTGGAGTGGGGCCCAAGAATTTGCATTTCTAGTAAGTACCCAGGTGATAATGCTGCTGATCTGGGACCACCCTTGGAGAACCACTGACTTAAACCATTTGTAACACAGTTAGAAGGCCAAAAACAAAAAACAAAGCAAAGCAAAACAAAACAAAACAAAAAGCAGGAAATAGTCTGTTAAGGAGCAAGGAAAAGAACAGTCCCAGAGGCCGGGCGCAGTGGCTCACGCCTGTAATCCTAGCACTTTGGGAGGCCGAGATGGGCGCATCACTTGAGGTCAGGAGTTCTTAACCAGCCTGGCCAACATGGTAAAACCCCCATCTCTACTAAAAATATAAAAAAATTAGCCAGGTGTGGTCGCAAGCACCTGTAATCCCAGCTACTCAGGAGGCTCAGGCAGGAGAACTGCTTGAACCTGAGGTAGAGGTTGTGGTGAGTCGAAATCATGCCACTGCACTCCAGCCTGAATGACAGAGCAAAACTGTCTCAAAAAAAAAAAAGAAGAAGCAGCAAAGAATAGTCCCAGAACCCTCTTTTTTTCCCCAAAGTGTTGGGATTACAGGTGTGAGCTACCGCGTCCAGCCCCAGAACCCTACCCTTTTTACTCCACAGAAGTATGGAGTCTTATACAGGCCTTCAAGCTGACAGATGAGTACATACTAGCTTTTTGATTCTCTTCCAAATTCCTTATTTATGACTATACTTTTGGCAGACTCCTGATAAAATGAAATCTACCAATGTATTTCAGTTCAATCACGTGTTTGGGAAATACCTACTTCCCATCAGGTCTAAACTGCTGTAAAGGAGAATATAGGAAAAACAAATAAAACCAAGTTTCTACCCACAATGTACTTCCAATCTAGTTAGGGTAAAAAAGCAGCACACATATGTTCACAAAAACAGCTAAGAAAAGATAGTGCAGTACTAATAAATGAGGATTCAAGTGATAAAATCAAATATTTGTATTTCTTCATTTAACAATATTAGCTAAACACCTACTTTGTGCCTGGCACAGTTATTGGTACTGGGACTAAAGTAGTGACAAAACAAAACAGAGCTAACAATCCAGTGAATGAAACATATGTTGCCTAAGATGTATGTGTACCAGTAGCATACGTTATATTTACTTAGAACCAGAAACACAGTTGCAGGCAAAAGCAGTGAATATAAAAATAAACACAAAAAGCAACTGGATGCCTATTTAACTCTAGAGTCAAGTAGAGAACTGATGTTCAACTTAAAAATTGCTTGCTTGCTTATTCATTTATTTGTTTATTTCTTTGAGACAGGGTCTCACTCTGTTGCCCAGGCTGGAGTGCAATCATAGCTCACTGCAGCCTCGAACTCCTGAACTCAGGCAATCCACCTGCCTCAGCCTCCCAAAGTGCTGGAATTACAGGCTTGAGCCACCACGCCGGGCCTATGTGTTTTTAAGGAGGCCGGCCTGAGTGTGGTTTTCCTTGTTGAAATGTGTCTCTAAGCAGGTTCCTGGCTCCTGGACTTTCTGGGGCAGGGTTTCCACCCTGTCCCTGGGCAGCCCAGGGGCTGACCCGGAAACCGTGAATTCAGCATGCTCAGCAAAGCCTGCAAAGCCATCCTCTTCTGGACAAAGTTCAGACTTCAATTCCTCTGTTCTCAGATGTCAGGCATAGAGCAGAGCCTTGTTAACCATGGTCACACTGTTTCATACTGAATTGTTACAAATTAGTACTTATTCATCCTGCGTAACTGCAACTTTGTATTTTTAACCAATACCTCTTCATTTCCTCCTGCTGATGATCAGGGTATATCCATAGATAATCATCACATTGGCCTGGTGCGGTGGCTCACACGTGTAATCCCAGAACTTTGGGAGGCCGAGGCGGGCGGATCACGAGGTCAGGATACGAGACCATCCTGGCTAAAACGGTGAAACCCTGTCTCTACTAAAAATACAAAAAATTAGGTGGACATGGTGGTGGGTGCCTGTAGTCCGAGCTACTGGGGAGGCTGAGGCAGGAGAATGGTGTGAACCCGGGAGGCGGAGGTTGCAGTGAGTCGAGATCGCACCACTGCACTCCAGCCTGGGCAACAGAGCGACAGAGCAAGACTCTGTCTCAAAAAAAAAAAAAAAAAAAAAAAAAAGTCCACCAAGGAGTTTTGCTTCACCCATGAAAGGAAGAAAACGGTCCAGGTAAAACAACCATCGGGATGTAACAAAAAATTGTCAATGATCACACCCTATAGAGGTGGCTGATTTGATACAACAGCCAGTGAAATTTTTGACGACAAATATTGCAGACTGCAAGAGACGCTTCTTGTTCGTGGAAATAGAAATAAAGCATGGTGTCTGCACCCGGCTTTCCGCTGTAAGCTGAAGTACTTCACGGCAGCAGGAATTGGGCAACCCACCGTTTACACTCCACCCTTTGAAACTGGGCTGAATGGGGTGGGGACCCGCCTTTGGGGAGAAAAGCAAATTTTATTTAAGCCCCTGAAAGAGGAGAGGGTTGGCCAGGCTCGGTGGCTCACGCCTGTAATCCCAGCACTTTGGGAGGCTGAGGTGGGTGGATCACTTGAGGTCAGGAGTTCGAGACCAGCCTGGCCAGCACGATGAAACCCAGTCTCTACTGAAAATACAAAATGAACCAGGCGTGGTGGCACATGCCTGTAATCCCAGCTACTGGGGAGGCTGAGGCAGGAGAGTCGCTTGAACCCGGGAGGCGGAGTTTGCAGTGAGCCAAGATCATTCCATTGCACTCCAGCCCGGGTGACAAGAGCGAAACTCTGTCTCAAAAAAAAAAAAAAAAAAATGCGTATTCCCCAGCCACCGGAAAATGAGATTTCTGAGCAGCTGGATCTGATAATTACCATGAGGTGTCATTACATGATATACACGTGCTTGGAAACAGTATATGTCATAAATGTGTACAATCATTATGGAGTTTTTTTTCTTGAGACAGGGTCTTGCTCTGTTGCCTAAGCTGGAGTGTGCAGTGATGCAATCATGGCTCAGTGCAGCCTTAACCTCCTGGACTCAAACCATCCTTCCACCTCAGCCTCCCCAGTAGCTGGAAATACAGGTCTGCACCAGTAGGTCCAGCTAACTTTTGTACTTTTTTTTTAAGAGATGGGATCTTGCTATGTTGCCCAGACTGGTCTTGAACTTCTGGCCTTGTGATTCTCCCACCTCAGCCTCCCAAAGCGCTGGGATTACAAGCGTGAGCCACTGCGCCTGATCCGAACGTTGACTCTTAAAAATAAAATAAAACTTTAGAAAAGAAGAAAATCTAATGGTGTTTTTTGTCTTTTCATTGGCTCTGTGTTACTTTGTAGCTCCAATTTTTCTTTCCTTCATTAAGTCAGCTCCAAATTTGCAAACTGAAGTGAAACGTGAGTGAGTTTTTTGTGTATCTTCTTGGCATGGGGTGGTGAGTGTGTGTACGTGTGTGTGTGTGTGTGTGTGTGTGTGTGTGTGTGTGTATTTGTATGTCCAGGGTTCCTCAACATCCCTGAAGACACTTGGGGCTCCTTAATATCCATATAATTTCTATTTTGACCAGAAAGAGGAAAAGTCAACATTTTGGAAACTCCAAACTCCACCAGGGGCTTGGCTGAAACAGGTGTGTGTCGTTTCTCCAACCAGCCAGCTCACCTGCAAATCTCAGAACTTATGTTAATGAGAGTTGCCTGCCCACAGCTCTTCTACGAATAATGTTTTTGTATGTAAAGGAGAAGCAAAAACATTTTTTTGACCTCTTGGAGCACGAAAATCAATAAGAAGTTGATAAAGCAAAGTCTGTGCCTGCTGAAAATAAAACAAGTGTGGTTTGTTTACCCACTGAAGCCTTCACGTTGTCAGGCTTGCGTCGAGATGATTTATAGACCAACACCCCATGAAATCATTTAAGGCAGATTAGATTCCCAGGACAATCCTCTCTAATATGACAAGCTGATAGAGGCTGACAGGTAACTAGGTTGTTCAGGATGGCAAGCCAGTCCCAGAAATTCTGATTAAATTAAAATATTAATGGTACCGCCGGGAGAGGAAGATTGAGTTGAGGTGGGCAAATTCTGTATGAGGACCGAGGAGCAAACACCACGTCGCAGTCGCTGTGCTGGAAGCAGAAGCCTGGGGGTGCCAGGGGGAGTTACCTTTGCTAAACCCGAAAGCAGGGCTTGCATTGCAATGAACTGTGCGGTGCTGGAGACAGGGTGGGGACAACACACCTGCCAGGCTCAGAAGGGAACACGGAGATTCCCTAATCACCTCCTCTCTCCTGCAGCTGCAAAGGTGACGGCCGGAGACCCTCATCTCTGCAGCTCTTAATTCCCCAGTAACCTCTCCCATGGCCTCTGCAAATGCTGGTTTGCAGGGCACTTTAACCCAATCTGAAATTGAGACTCCAGCATCATGACTGTGTACAGATTCTCTAGGAAACTGTCTTGTGCCGGCTGGATGAAAGCTTATTGCTGTGTGTGTGTAGTGTGTGTGTGTGGTTTTGTTTTTTCCTTACAGAGAAAAATGCAAACAATCTTGCCCCGGCCACAGGAAAAGGAGATTCCTGAGCAGTGTACATTTGCTCCTCTTTCTTTCTTTATCTTTCTTTCTTCTTTCTTCCTTTCTTTCCCTGTCTCTCCTTCCTTCTGTCTTCCTTTCTTTCTCTCTCTCCTTCCTTCCTTCTTTTTTCTCTTTCTTTCTTCTTTCTTTCTCTCTCTCCTTCCTTCCTTCTTTCTTCCTTTCTTTCTCTCCTTCCTTCCTTACTTCCTGCTTTCTTTCTCTCTCTCCTTCTTTCTTTCTCTCTTTCTTTCTTTCCTTCCTTCCTTCCTTCCTTTCCTTTCTTTCTCTCTCTCTCACTCTCTCTCTCTCCCAATCTCTCTCTTTCTCTCTCCCCTTCCTTCCTTCCTTCCTCCTTCCTTCCTTCCTTCCTTCCTTCCTTCCTTCCTTCCTTCCCTTTTCTCTCTCTCTCTTTCCAGCTGGCTTGGCTGGCTGGCTGACTTGGCTGGCTTGTGTGGCTGGCTGGGCTGGCAGCGGTGGCTGGGTTGGCTGGCTGGCTGGGCTGGCTGGGCTGGCTGGGCTGGCTGGCTGGCTTGGCTGGCTGGGCTGGCTGGCTGGCTTGAATGGCTTGGCTGGCTTGGCTGGCCTGGCTGGCTGGCTGGCTTGGCTGGCTTGGCAGGCTGGCTGGTTTAGCTGTCTTGGGTGGCTGGGTGGCTGGCTGGCTTGGCTTGCTGGGCTGGCTGGCTGGCCTGGCTGGCTGGCTGGCTTGGCTGGCTTGGCAGGCTGGCTGGTTTAGCTGGCTTGGTTGGCTGGCTGGCTTGGCTGGATTGACTGGCTGGCTGGTTTAGCTGGCTTGGTTGGCTGGCTGGCTTGGCTGGATTGACTGGCTGGCTGGCTTGGCTGGCTTGGCTGGCTGGCTGAGTTGGCTGGCTTGGCTGGCTTGGGTGGCTTGGCTGGCTGGCTGGCTTCATTGGCTTGGATGGCTGGCTGGCTTGGATGGCTGCCTGGCTTGGCTAGCTTGGCTGGCTGACTGGCTTGGCTGCCTTGGCTGGCTTGGCTGGCTTGGCGGGCTTGGCTGGCTTGGCTGGCTTGGCTAGCTGGCTTGGCTGGCTTGGCTTGCTGGATGTCTTGGCTGGCTTGGCAGGCTGACTTGGCTGGCTTTGCTGGCTGGCTGGCTTTGCAGGCTTGGCTGGCTTGGCTGGCTTGGCTGGCTTGCTTGGCCGGCTTGGCTGGCTGGGTGGCTTGGCTGGCTTGGCTGGCTGGCTGGCTGGGTGTCTTGGGTGGCTTGGCTGGCTGGGTGGCTTGGCTGGTTTGGCTGGCTGGCTTGGCTGGCTGGCTTGCTGGCTTGCTTGGCTGGCTTGCCTGGCTGGCTGGCTAGCTTGGCTGTCTGGGCTGGCTGGCTCTCTTGGATGGCTTGGCTGACTGGGTGGCTGGCTTGGCTGTCTGTGCTGGCTGGCTGGCTTGGATGGCTTGGCTGACTGGGTGGCTGGCTGGCCTGGCTGGCTGGGTGGCTGACTGGCTTTGCAGGCTTGCTGGCTTGGCTGGCTGGGTGGCAGGCTGGCCTGGCTGGCTGGCTGGCTGGGTGGCTGGCTGGCGTGGCTGGCTGGCTGGCTGGCTGGCTTGGCTGGTTTGGCTGGCTGGCTGGCTTGGCTCGCTTGGCTGGCTGTCTGGCTTGACTGGCTGTCTGGCTTGACTGGCTTGGCTGGCTGCCTGGCTTTGCTGGCTGGCTGGCTTGGCTGGCTGCCTGGCTTGGCTGTCTGGGCTGTCTGGGTGGCTTGGCTGGCTTGGCTGGGTCGGTGGCTTGGCTGGCTTGGCTGCCTGGCCGGCGTGGCTGCCTTGGCTGTCTGGCCGGCTTGGTTGGCTGGCAGGCTGGCCGGCTTAGCTGGCTGGCTGGTTGGCTGGCTTGGCTAGCTGACTGGCTTTGCTGGTTGGCTGGCTTGGCTGGCTTGGCTGGCTGGTTGGATGGCCGGGTGGCTTGTCTGGCTTGGCTAGCCGGCTGGCTTAGCTAGCTGGATGGCTTGGCTGGCATGCCTGGCTTGGTTGGCTGGCTAGTTTTGCTGGCTTGGCTGCCTGGCTGGCTTGGCTGGCATGCCTGGCTTTGCTTGCTGGCTGGCTTGGCTGACTTGGCTGCCTGGCTGGCTTGGCTGGCATGCCTGTCTTGGCTGGCTGGCGGGCCTGGCTGGCTTGGCTGGTTTGGCTGCCTGGCTGGCTTGGCTGGCATGCCTGTCTTGGCTGGCTGGCGGGCCTGGCTGGCTTGGCTGGCTTGGCTGGCTGGGAGGCTTGGCTGGCTTGGCTGGCTGGTTGGCTGGCTGGCTTGGCTGGCTTGGCTGGCTTGGCTGGCTTTGTGGCTTCACTGGCTTGGCTGGCTGGCTGGCTTGGCTGGCTTGGCTGGCTGGCTGGCTGGCTGTCTTGGCTGGCTTGGCTGCCTGGCTGGCTGAGTGGCTTTGCTGGCTGGCTGGCTGGCTGGCTTGGCTGGCTTGGCTGGCTAGCTGGCTTGGCTGACTTGGCTGGCTAGCTGGCTAGCTGGCTTGGCTGACTTGGCTGGCTAGCTGGCTTGGCTGACTTGGCTGGCTTGGCTGGCTTGGCTGGCTGGCTGGCTGGCTGGCTTGGCTGGCTTGGCAGGCTGGCTGGTTGGGTGGCTTAGCTGGCTGGCTGGCTGGCTGGGTCGCTTGACTGGCTTGGCTGGCTGGCTTGGCTGGCTTGGTTTGCCAGGCTGGAGTGCAATGGTGCAAACTTGGCTAGCTGCAGCCTCCACCTCCTGTGTTCAAGTGATCCTCCTGCGTTGGCCTCCCGAGTAGCTGGGATTAGAGATGAGTGCCACCACGCCCATCTATTTTTTTTGTATATTTAGTGGAGACGTTGTTTCACCATGTTGGCCAGGCTGGTGTTTTTTTCATTTTCTTTTTTTTCTGAGTGGGAGTCTCGCTCTGTTGCCCAGGCTGGAGTGCAGTGGTGCAATCTTTGTTCGCTGCAACCTCCACCTCCCGGGTTCAAACGATCCTCCTGCCTGGGCCTCCCGAGTAGCTGGGATTACATTCGTGTGCTACCATGCTCAGCTAATTTCTTTGTGTATTTAGTACTGAGGGGGTTTCACCATGTTGGCCAAGGTGCTCTTTTTTTTTTCTTTTTTCTGAGATGGAGTCTCGCTCCATTGCCCTGGTTGGAGTTCTTCTTTTTTTTCAGATGGAGTGTCACTCTGTTGTCCAGGGTTCAGTGCAGTGGTGCAATCTTGGCTGGCTGCAACCTCTACCTCCCGGGTTCAAGCGATCCTCCTGCCTGGGCCTCCCGAGTAGCTGGGATTACAATCGTGTGCCACCACGCTCAGCTAATTTCTTTGTATATTTAGTACTGACGGGGTTTCACCGTGTTGGACAGGCTGGTCTTTTTTTTTTTTCTTTTTTTTGAGATGGAGCCTTGCTATATTGCCCAGGCTGGAGTGCTTTTTTTTCAGATGGAATCTCACTTTCTTGCCCAGGCTGGAGTGCAGTGGTGCAATCTTGGTTCGTTGCAACCTCCACCTCCTGTGTTCAAGCGATCCTCCTGCCTG
Source organism: Homo sapiens (assembly GCF_000001405.40). Taxonomy (NCBI): domain Eukaryota; kingdom Metazoa; phylum Chordata; class Mammalia; order Primates; family Hominidae; genus Homo; species Homo sapiens. The sequence goes on from NT_187524.1 coordinate 106,975, forward strand.
GGCCTCTCGAGTAGCTGGGATTACAGGCGTGTGCCACCACGCCCAGCTAATTTTTTTGTGTATTTAGTAGAGACGGGGTTTCACCACGTCGGCCAACCTGGTCTTTTTTTTTTTTTTTTTTTTTTTTCTGAGATGGAGTCTCGCTCTGTTGACCAGACTGGAGTGCTTCTTTTTTTTCAGATGGACTCTCACTCTGTTGCCCAGGCCAGAGTGCAGTGGTGCAATCTTGGCTCGCTGCAGCCTCCACCTCCCAGGTTCAAGTGATCCTCCTGCCTGGGCCTCCCCAGTAGCTGGGATTAGAGGCCTGTGCCACCACGTCCAGCTAATTTTTTTTGTATATTTAGTAGAGACGGGATTTCAACATGTTGGCCAACCTGGTCTTTTTTTTTTTTTTTTTTTTTTTTTTTGAGTTGGAGTCTCGCTCTATTGCCCAGGCTGGAGTTCTTATTTTTTTTCGGATGGAGTCTCACTTTTTTGCCCAGGTTGGAGTGCAGTGGTGCAATCTTGGCTCGCGGCAGCCTCCACCTCCCAGGTTCAAGCGATCCTCCTGCCTGGGCCTCCTGGGTAGCTGGGATTACATTCATGTGCCACCACGCCCAGCTAATTTCTTTGTATATTTACTAGAGACGGGGTTTCACCATGTTGGCCAGGCTGGTCTTTTTTTTTTTTTTTTCCTGAGATGGAGTCTCGCCCTGTTGCCCAGGCTGGAGTGCAGTACTACAATCTTAGTTCACGGCAACCACCCCCTCCCGGGTTCAAGTGATCATCCTGTCTGGGCCTCCCGAGTACCTGGTATTACAGGTGTGTGCCACCAAACCCAGCTAATTTTTTTTTTTTTTTGAGATGTAGTATCGCTCTGACACCACCGTGGAGTATAGTGGCGCCATCTCGGCTCACTGCAACCTCCGCTTCCCAGGTTCAAGCAATTCTCCTGCCTCAGCCTCCCGAGTAGCAGGGATTACAGGCATGTGCCACCACACCCAGCTAATTTTTCTATTTTTAGTAGAGACGGGGTTTCACCATGTTGGTCAGGCTGGTCTCGATCTCGTGACCTCGTGATCCACCCACCTCGGCCTCCCAAGGTGCTGGGATTACAGGCATGAGCCACCACGCCCGGCCCTATTTTTTTTGTATATTTAGAAGAGACGGGGTTTCACCATGTTGGCCAGGCTGGTGTTTTTTTTGTTGTTTTTTTTTTTTGAGATGGAGTCTCGCTCTATTGGCCAGGCTGGAATGTTTCTGTTTTTTCAGATGGAGTCTCACTCTGTTGCCCAGGCTGGAGTGCAGTGGTGCAATCTTGGCTCGCTGCAGCCTTCACCTCCCTGATTCAAGCGATCCTCCTTCCTGGGCCTCCCGAGTAGCTGGGATTACAGACGTGTGCCAGCACGCCCAGCTAATTTTTTTGTATATTTTGTAGAGATGGGGTTTCACCGTGTTGGCCAGGCTGGTATATCTTATTTTATTTTTTCTGAGATGGAGTCTCGCCCTGTTGCCCAGGCTGGAGTGCAGTGGTGCAATCTTGGCTCGCTGTAGCCTCCACCCCCAGGGTTCAAGCGATCCTCCTGCCTGGGCCTCCCGAGTAGCTGGGATTACATTCATGTGCCACCACGCCCAGCTAATTTCTTTTTATATTTAGTAGAGATGGGGTTTCACCATGTTGGCCAGGCTGGCCTTTTTTTTTTTCTTTTTTTTTTCTGAGATTGAGTCTCACCCTGTTGCCCAGGCTGGAATGAGGTGGTGCAATCTTGGTTCGCTTCAACCTCCACCTCCCTGGTTAAAGCGATCCTCCTGCCTGGGCCTCCCGAGTAGCTGGGATTACGGGAATGTGCCACCACGCCTAGATAATTTTTTATACATTCAGTAGAGACAGGGTTTCTCCATGTTGGCCAGGCTGTCTTTTTTTTTATTTTTTTTGAGATGGAGTCTCGTCCTGGCATGGCTGGCTGGCTGGCTTGTATGGCTTGGCTGGCTGGCTGGCATGGCTGGCTTGGCTGGTTCGCTGGCTGACAGGCTTGGCTGGCTGGGTGGCTTGGCTGGCATGCCTGGCTGGGTGGCTTGGCTGGCTTAGTTGGCTGGGTGGCTTGGCTGGCTGGCTGGCTGGCTGGCTGGCTTGGCTGGTGGGGTGGCTTGGCCGGACGCCTCGCTTGGCTGGCTGGATGGCTTGGCTGGCATGGATTGCTTGGCTGGCTGGCTGGCTTGGCTTGCGTGGCTGGCTGGATGGCTTGGCTGGCTTGGCTGTCTTGGCTGGCTGGATGGCTTGGCTGGCTGTGTGGCTTGGCTGTCTTGGCTGGCTGGGTGGCTTGGCTGGCTGTGTGGCTTGGCTGGCTTGGCTGGCTGGGTGGCTTGGCTGGCTGGCTAACTGGCTTGGCGGGCGTGGATGGCTGGCTGGCTTGGTGGGTGGCCGGCTTGGCAGGCTGGCTGGCTGGCCTGACTGGCTTGATGGCTAGATGGCTTGGCTGGCTGGGTGGCTTGCCTGGCTTGGCTGGCTTGGCTGTATGGCTGGCTTGACTGGCTTGGCTGGCTGGCTGTCTTGGCTGGCTTGGATGGCTGGCTGGCTTGGCTGGTTGGCTGGTTTGGCCGGCTTGGCTGGCTTGGCCGGCCGGGTGGCTTGGCTGGCTTGGCTAGCCGGCTGGCTTAGTTGGCTGGATGGCTTGGCTGGCATGCCTGGCTTGGCTGGCTGGCTGGCTTGGCTGGCTTGGCTGCCTGGCTGGCTTGGCTGGCATGCCTGTCTTGGCTGGCTGTCGGGCTTGACTGGCTTGGCTGGCTTGGCTGCCTGGCTGGCTGGCTGGCGGGCCTGGCTGGCTAGGTGGCTTGGCCTGCTTGGCTGGCTGGGTGGCTGGCTGCCTGGCTGGCTGATTGGCTTGGCTGGCGTGGCTGGCTGGGTGGCTTGGCTGGCTGGGTGGCTTGGCTGGTTTGGCTGGCTGGCTGGCTGGGTGGCTTGGCTAGCTGGCTGGCTGGGCTGGTTGGCTGGCTTGGCTGGCATGCCTGGCTTTGCTTGCTGGCTGGCTTGGCTGGCTTCGCTGCCTGGCTGGCCTGGCTGCCTGGCTGGCTTGGCTAGCATGCCTTTCTTGGCTGGTTGGCAGGCTTGGCTGGCTTGGCTGGCTTGGCTGTCTGGGCTGGCTGACTGGCTTGGCTGGCTTGGATGGCCGGGTGGCTTGGCTGGCTTGGCTGGCTGGGTGGCTTGGCTGGCTTGGCTGGCTGGGAGGCTTGGCTGGCTTGGCTGGCTGGGTGGCTGGCTGGCTTGGCTGGCTTGGCTGGCTTGGCTGGCTTGGGTGGCTGGCTGCCTGGCTGGCTGATTGGCTTGGCTGGCTTGGCTGGCTGGGTGGCTTGGCTGGCTGGGTGGCTTGGCTGGTTTGGCTGGCTGGCTGGCTAGGTAGCTTGGCTAGCTGGCTGGCTTGGCTGGTTGGCTGGCTTGTCTGGCTTGGCTGGCTTGGCTGGCTGGCTTGGCTGGCTGGGTGGCTTGGCTGGCTTGGCTAGCCGGCTGGCTTAGTTGGCTGGATGGCTTGGCTGGCATGCCTGGCTTGGCTGGCTGGCTGGCTTGGCTGGCTTGGCTGCCTGGCTGGCTTGGCTGACATGCCTGGCTTTGCTTGCTGGCTGGCTTGGCTGGCTTGGCTGCCTGGCTGGCTTGGCTAGCATGCCTGTCTTGGCTGGTTGGCGGGCTTGGCTGGCTTGGCTGGCTTGGCTGGCTTGGCTGTCTGGGCTGGCTGACTGGCTTGGCTGGCTTGGATGGTCGGGTGACTTGGCTGGCTTGAGTGGCTGAGTGGATTGCCTAGCTTGGCTGGCCGGCTGGCTTGGCAGGGTGGCTGGCTTGGCTGGCTTGGCTAGCTGGCTGGCTGGCTGGCGGGCCTGGCTGGCTAGGTGGCTTGGCTGGCTTGGCTGGCTTGGTGGCTTGGCTGGCTTGGCTGGCTGGGAGGCTTGGCTGGCTTGGCTGGCTGGCTGGCTGGCTGACTTGGATGGCTTGGCTGGCTTGGCTGGCTTGGGTGGCTGGCTGCCTGGCTGGCTGATTGGCTTGGCTGGCTTGGCTGGCTGGGTGGCTTGGCTGGTTTGGCTGGCTGGCTGGCTGGGTGGCTTGGCTAGCTGGCTGGCTTGGCTGGCTTGGTTGGCTGGCTCTCTTGTTTGGTTGGCTGGCTTGGCTGCCTTGGCTGGCTGGCTGACTTGGCTGTCTGGGCTGACTGCGTGGCTGGCTGGCCTGGCTGGCTGGGTGGCTGGCTGGCTTGGCTGGCTTGTCTGTCTTGGCTGGCTGGGTGGCAGGCTGACCTGGCTGGCTGGATGGCTGGCTGGCCTGGCTGGCTGGGTGGCTGGCCGGCCTGGCTGGCTGGGTGGCTGGCTGGCTTGGCTGTCTGGCTGGCTTGCTGGCTGTCTTGGCTGGCTGGGTGGCTTGGCTGGCTGTGTGGCTTGGCTGGCTCGGCTGGCTTGGCTGGCTGGCTGGCTTGGCTGTCTGGGCTGGCTGGCTTGGCTGTCTGGGCTGGCTGGCTGGCTTGGCTGGCTTGGCTGGCCGGGTGACTTGGCTGGCTTGAGTGGGTGAGTGGATTGGCTAGCTTGGCTGGCCAGCTGGCTTGGCAGGCTGGATGTCTTGGCTGGCTTGGCTGGCAGGCTGTTTTGGCTGGCTTGGCTGTCTTGGCTTGCTGGGTGGCTTGGCTGGGTCGGTGGCTTGGCTGGCTTGGCTGCCTTGGCTGTCTGGCCGGCTTGGTTGGCTGGCAGGCTGGCCGGCTTGACTGGCTGGCTGGTTGGCTGGCTTGGCTAGCTGACTGTCTTGGCTGGTTGGCTGGTTTGGCTGGGTTGGCTGGCTGGCTTGGCTGGCCGGGTGGCTTGGCTGGCTTGGCTAGCTGACTGGCTTGACTGGTTGGCTGGCTTGGCTGGCTTGGCTGGCTGGCTTGGCTGGCCGGGTGGCTTGGCTGGCTTGGCTAGCCGGCTGGCTTAGCTGGCTGGATGGCTTGGCTGGCATGCCTGGCTTGGCTGGCTTGCTGGCTTGGCTGGCTTGACTGGGTGGCTTGGCCATCTTGGCTGGCTGAGTGGCTTGGCCGGCTTGGCTGGCTGGCTGGCTTGGCTGGCTGAGTGGCTTGGGCAGCTTGGCTGCTGGCTGAGTGGCTTGGCCGGCTTGGCTGGCTGGCTGGCTTGGCTGGCTGAGTGGCTTGGCCAGCTTGGCTGGCTGTGTGGCTTGGCTGTCTTGGCTGGCTGGGTGGCTTGGCTGGCTTGGCTGGCTGGGAGGCTTGGCTGGCTTGGCTGGCTGGGTGGCTGGCTGGCTTGGCTGGCTTGGCTGGCTTGGCTGGCTGGGTTGTTTGCCTGGCTTGGCTGGCTGGGTGGCTTGGCAGGCTTGGCTGGCTGGCTGGCTGGCTGGCTTCGCTGGCTGGGTGTCTTGGCTAGCTTGGCTGGCTGGGTGTCTTGGCTGGCTTGGGTTGCTGGGTCTCTTGGCAGGCTGCTTGGCTGGCTGGGTGGCTTGGCTTGCTTGGCTGGCTGGGTGTCTTCGCTGGCTTGGCTGGCTGGCTGGCTTGGCTGGCTTGACTGGCTGGCAGGCTTGGCTGGCTTTTCTGGCTGACTGGCTTGGCTGGCTTGGCTGGCTTGGCTGGCTGGGTTGGCTGGCTTGGCTGGTTTGGCTGGCTGGCTGGCTTGACTGGCTTGGCTGGCTGGCTGTCTGGCTTCCATGGCTTGCTTGGCTGTCTGGCTTGGCCGGCTTGGCTGGCTGGCTGTCTTGGCTGGCTTGGCTGGCTGGGTTGACTGGCTTGGCTGGCTCGCTGGCTTGCCTGGCTTGACTGGCTTGGCTGTCTTGGCTGGCTGGCTGGCTTGGCTGGCTTGGCTGGCTTGGCTGGCTGGCTTGTCTGGTTTGGCTGCTTGGGCTGGCTGTCTGGCTGTGCTGTCTGGCTGGTTGGCTGGCTTGGCTGGCTTGGCTGGGTGGCCGGCTTGGCTGGCTTGGCTGACTGGCTTGGCTGGGTTGGCCAGCTTCGCTGGCTGGCTTGGGTCTCTTGGCTGCCTGGGCTGGCTGTCTGGCTGGGCTGTCTGGCTGGTTGGCTGGCTTGGCTGGCATGCCTTTCTTGGCTGGCTAGAGGTCTTGGCTGGCTTGGCTGGCTTGGCTGTCTGGCTGGCTTAGCTGGCTTGACTGGGTGGCTTGGCCATCTTGGCTGGCTGAGTGGCTTGGCCGGTTTGGCTGGCTGGCTGGCTTGGCTGGCTGAGTGGCTTGGCCAGCTTGGCTGGCTGGGTGGCTTGGCCGGCTTGGCTGGCTGGCTGGCTTGACTGGCTTGGCTGGCTGGGTTGTTTGCCTGGCTTGGCTGGCTGGGTGGCTTGGCAGGCTTGGCTGGCTGGCTGGCTGGCTGGCTTCGCTGGCTGGGTGTCTTGGCTAGCTTGGCTGGCTGGGTGTCTTGGCTGGCTTGGGTTGCTGGGTCTCTTGGCAGGCTTGGCTGGCTGGGTGGCTTGGCTTGCTTGGCTGGCTGGGTGTCTTCGCTGGCTTGGCTGCCTGGCTGGCTTAGCTGGCTTGACTGGGTGGCTTGGCCATCTTGGCTGGCTGGGTGGCTTGGCTGGCTTGGCTAGCCGGCTGGCTTAGTTGGCTGGATGGCTTGGCTGGCATGCCTGGCTTGGCTGGCTGGCTGGCTTGGCTGGCTTGGCTGCCTGGCTGGCTTGGCTGACATGCCTGGCTTTGCTTGCTGGCTGGCTTGGCTGGCTTGGCTGCCTGGCTGGCTTGGCTGCCTGGCTGGCTTGGCTAGCATGCCTGTCTTGGCTGGTTGGCGGGCTTGGCTGGCTTGGCTGGCTTGGCTGGCTGGGTGGCTTGGCTGGCTGGGTGGCTTGGCTGGTTTGGCTGGCTGGCTGGCGTCGCTGACTGGATGGCTTGGCTGGCATGCCTGGCTTGGCTGGCTGGCTGGCTGGCTTGGCTGGCTTGGCTGGCTTGGCTGCCTGGCTGGCTTGGCTGGCTTGGCTCACTGGCTGGGTGGCTGGCCTGGTTAGCTGGGCGGCTTGGCTGGCTTGGCTGGCTGGGCGGCTTGGCTGGGCGGCTTGGCTGGCTTGGCTGGCTTGGCTGACTGGCTTGGCTGGTTTGGCCAGCTTTGCTGGCTGGCTTGGGTCTCTTGGCTGGCTTTGCTGGGTGGCTGGCCGGCTTGGCTGGCTGGCTGGTTTGGCTGGCTGACTGGCTGGGCTGGCTGGGCTCACTGTCTGGCTTGGCCGGCTCGGCTGGCTGGCTGGCTGGCTGGGCTGGCTTGGCTGGCTGGCTGGCTTGGCTGGCTTGGCTGGCTAACTGGCTGGCTTGGCTGGCTTGGCTTGGCTCGCTTGGCCTGCTGGCTTGGCTGCCTTGTCTGGCTGGCTGGCTTGGCTTGCTTGGCTGCCTGGCCGGCTTGGCTGGCTTGGCTGCCTTGGCTGGCTTGGCTGGCTGGCTGGCTTGGCTGGCTTGGCTGGCTGGCTGGCTTGGCTGGCTTGGCTGTTTGGGTTGGCTGGCTGGCTGGGGCTCCTGGGCTGGCTGGCTGGCTTGGCTGGCTGGCTTGCTTGGCTGGCTTGGCTGGCTGGCAGGCTTGGCTTGCTTGGCTGGCTTGCTGGCTTGGCTGGCTTGGCTGTTTGGATTGGCTGGCTGGCTGGGGCTCCTGGGCTGGCTGGCTGGCTTGGCTGGCTGGCTTGCTTGGCTGGCTTGGCTGGCTGGCAGGCTTGGCTGGCTTGGCTGGCTGGCTGGCTTGGCTGGTTTGGCTGGCTTGGCTGGCTGGCTAGCTGGCTCACTTGGCTGGCTTGGCTGGGTGGGTGGCTTAGCTGGCTTGGCTGACTGGCTTGGCTGGCTTGGACATTAAATATAATAATATATTTGGTACATTAAATATAAATTGTATACGTTAAATATAAACATCTTTTATACATCAAACATAAACATTTTATACATTAAATGTAAACATATCTTATATGTTAAATATAAACTTCTTTTATACATTAAATATAAGAATACATTTGGTACATTTAATGTATACAGTACATTAAATATAGACATTTTAGACATTAAATATAAGCATATATTCAGCACATTAAATGTAAACATATTTTATACATTAAATATAAATACTGTGTATGTTAAATATAAATATGTATTTTCTATATTAAATGTAAATATGTATCCTGTACATTAAATATAAACATATTTTCTATATTAAATATAAACATGTATTTTGCATAGTAAATATAACTATACATTTTCTATATTAAATATCAACATGTATTATGTATATTAAACAAAGACATATATTTCCCATATTAAATATAAACATATATTTTTATATGTTAAATATAAATATATATTTCCTGTATTAAATATACACATATATATTAAATATAAATATATTTTTCTATATGAAATGTAAACATGTTTTAAACATTAAATATAAATATTCATCTTAGATATGGCCCGTGTTCGAATGTGTAGTAGATTGAGTATATAATGTCTACTCAATATAAAATTTATATTTATATATGCAGTAATGATTCAAGTTGATTGTAGTTAAGAAAAACAAGCTCCAAATTCGAAAGAAATATGTAAGAAGAGAGACAGGAAGAAAAAATAATGAGGCAGGTAAATGCAACAGACAATTCGAGACCCACAAGTGCAGAGCAGGCTTCCCAGACCCAGGTAATGTCTCCTGGGCTGATAGGAAGCCCTCAACCCCCCAAGTCCTTCTCAGCCATAAACCACCTGAGCACAGAGCCACAGGGACCGTGTTGGGGCTGGGCCTCCCGACTTCAGTTCCTCTCATTCTGTGCAAAAGGAAAAACAATTCAGAATCTACAGAGGTTTAGATGTGTGCAGATGTGGACAGAGAAGTCCGGGCACAGTGGTTTACTGCCCAAGAAGACAGTGAGTCCCCGGAGGAATAGAAGAATATACATCATGCTAATATATGTCATCCCAGTACTTTGGGAGGCCGAGGCGGGTGGATCACTTGAGGTCAAGAGTTCGAGACCAGCCTGGCCAACATGGTGAAACCCCGTCTCTACTAAAAATACAGAAATTAGTTGGCCGCGGGGGTGGATGACTGTGATCCCAGATACTCGGGAGACAGAGGCGGGATGAACTGCTTGAACCTGGGAGGAGGAGGTTGCAGTGAGCTGAGATCATGCCATTGCACTCCAGCCTGGGGAAAAGAGCAAGATCCAGTCTCAAAGAAAAAAGAAAAAAAGAAAGAAGTTGTGAGTGCTAAGTTCTCTCTGGATTTTCAGGAGGCCAGTTCTCCAGTCCACGGTGGCCTGGGAGGACAGGGGTTCCTGAGGGTGAACAGAGCCTGTGCCCGGTCAGGTAGGATCATATGTCCCTGAAGTTCAGAACCCAGGAGCATGGGGATGGTCCTGGGGGTTCCTGCTGCACGGAGGGAAGACCCTCTTTCCACAGGGGCCCCGGAGAGCGAGAGGAAGGAGGAGGGCAGGTCAGTGAGTGTGATGGGGTCACAGTGGAGAGGGAAGCAGAAAGAAGTGTTCCCACAGCAAGACACACACACTGTCCATGCTGAAGCTACAGAGAGGACCTCTCCACCTGTGTCTGCCGCAAAGCAGTGGGGCGTCTTCTGGCAGCCCAGAGTCACCTCCAGATCCCACCTGCACCATGCTTCCTGCGGAGACTGCCTGTCTTCCTAATACACTGTCTTCTGACCAGTCTTCCAGACAAATCACCGGTTGCTATATATATATATTTTTTAATAGCTAATATCTTACACTGATATATTTATATTATATATAAATAATTTTGTGCTTTATGTTTATGCTATATATACAGATGTAGTTAGCTATTTATGTTATATATAATATAAACATGATGTATATTCTTATATTTCTCTGGGGACTCACTGTCTTCTTAATACACTGTCTTCTGACCAAATTCTTCCAGACAAATCAGCTGTTGCTATATATATATATATGCTATATAATTTATTGCATAGAATATATTATATATTATATAGCATAGAATATATTATATATTATATAGCATAGAATATATTATATATTATATATTAATTATATAATATATGTTACATATTACATATTATATATAATATATTATATTATGTTATATCTTATATATTATATATGTTATATATGTATATATATTATATGTACACATATACACATACATACACACATGTATATTTTAATAGCTAATATCTTACACTGGTATATTTATATTACATACGATTATATACAAATATTTTTGTACTTTATGTTTATGCTGTATATACAGATGTAATTAGTTGTTTATGTTATATATAATATAAACATGATGTATATTCTTATTTTCCTGTGAGGACCCACTGTCTTCTTAATACACTGTCTTCTGACCAAAGTCTTCCACACAAATCAGCAGTTACTATATATATATATAATATTTATATACACATATACACATACATACACACATATGTATATTTTAATAGCTAATATCTTACACTGATATATTTATATTACATATAGTAATATACTAATATTTTTGTACTTTATGTTTATACTATATATACAGATGTTGTTAGGTATTTATGTTATATATAATATATTAACATGATGCACATTCTTGTATTCTCCTGGGGACTCACTGTCTTCTTAATACACTGTCTTCTGACTAGAATATTCCAGACAAATCACCGGTTGCTCTCTCTCTCTCTCTCTCTCTATATATATATATATTTTAATAGCTAATATCTTACACTGATATATTTATATTACATATAGTTATATACAAATATTTTTGTACTTTTGTTTATACTATATACACAGATGTAGTTAGCTATTTATGTTATATATAATATATCAACATGATGTATATTCTTATATTCCTCTGGGGACTCACAGTCTTCTTAATACACTGTCTTCTGACCAAACTCTTCCAGACAAATCAGCTGTTGCAGTATATATATATATTTATTTTTTAATAGCTAGTATCTTACACTGTGGCTCATGCCTGTAATCCCAGCACTTTGGGAGGCCGAGGCGGGTGGATCACCTGAGGTCAGGAGTTTGAGACCATCCTGGCTAACACAGTGAAACCCCATCTCTACTAAAAATACAAAAATTGATTGGGTGTGGTGGTGCATGCCTGTAATCCCAGCTACTCGGGAGGCTGAGGCAGGAGAATCGCTTGAACCCAGGAGGCAGAGGTTGCAGTGAGCCGAGATCGTGTTGCTGCACTCCAGCCTGGGCAACAGAGCGAGACTCCATCTCACACACACAAAACATCTTACACTGATGTATTTATATTACGTGTAGCTGTATATAAATATTTTTGTACTTATATTCTGTGTACTTATATTCTATATATTATAAAACATTATATAAAATTATACATGTATAATAAAATGTTACATAAAAATTTTAACATAATACCATTTTATTACATATATTTCTAAATTTAATATAATGAAATTTTATATATAATAATGTATAACATCTCTAAATTTATTATAATACAATGATATGTAATTATTTTCTCATAATTATACATAAGGTAATTTATTATAAATAAGATTTTATATAATCTACATTTATTATAATAAAATTTTATTACATATAACACATTTCTAAATTTAATACAATAAAATACTATGTATAATTTATAACGTTTCAAAATTTATTATATTTTTATTATACAATTATTTTATACATAATTATACATAGTATATAATTGTACTTAGAAATATAATTATGCATATACAATATGTAATTTTATTTTTACACAGTATATATGTATAATTATGTATTAACAAATATAATATCAATTTTATATACTTATTTACATTAAGTTATATATTATAGAAATGATGTTATATGTTATATATGTTACATATATTTTTGCTTAATATATTAAATTTAATCTATAAAATTATGTATTAGAAATAAAAGTATTTGCTTAATATATTAAATTTAATCTATAAAATTATGTATTAGAAATAAAAGTATTTTACATATACACTACATATAACTTTATTTATATAAAAATATAAAAGTCATATGGTTAAGTTACTAAAATAATTTATATCAATCTATTCATATAAAATATACACAATGCGTATTTCTATAAATACAAAGTATATAAAACTTTTACCAGTAGGATGCAAAGAGTTGCTGACCGTCTGCAGAAATCCTGAACCTCTGGAAGCAGAATAAAATCTTACCTCCCAGTCTGCTTTGAAAGGAACAGTAAAGCAGTCCCGAACCCCAAACCCACCCTAAGGGGAGATGGGGGAGTTGGGATGGACGCGTTGACCAGTGAGGACTTTCCTTTGCTGGTTTTGAGGTGTCTTAGCCCAGAAGCTAAGATGGGAAGTGATTCTGGAGCAGGTGAGCTGATCACAAGCCTGAGCCAAGAATCCATGGAGCTCATAAATAGCAGAAGCCGGGACCCTGTGCAAATCCTTCTGAAATATTCTCCATTTACTGGGCTCCTAGGGGTGGGGAAGAAAAATTCCCTGACATTTCGGCCTCAGGGAAAGAGAGAGACACCCCACTGGCCGGAAGCCTCTGCTATTTTTCAGAAGACAGCTGGGGCATCACCCTTTCCCAAATGACGGTGATTTTCAGAGTGGTTCACTTTTTGGAGAGACATTTCTGCCCTGGAGATCCATACATATTGAACCCAAATGAATATTTTTTAATTAAAAAAAATTAAACTTTAGAAAGTTCAATATTGAGGCAGCTACGAGTTTGAATTCCTCATTTTTCCTAAATGCATGTTGTCAAAATCTGTATTGCATTTAGTAACTACTTATGTTTCTAATGTATATAAGGTTACACAATGTTTTCTTCTTTTTCTGCTCCTCAGGGTCAGAATTTGAAATAAAAGTTTTGGAAAGAAAAAACACTCTTGTCTGTTTGTGCAAAAATAAAAGAACCCATATTTTAAGAATATTTTAAAATAAATACAAATTTTGTGTGGGGGGTTGCTTATAAGAATTCTTCATATCCTAAATCAAAGATAGATCTTGTTATTAACCAGAAGACAAAATGTGTGTGTATAAATGTACAACACTCTTACACTCACACAAACACTGGCACACATGCACACACACACATTCACGCACTCACTGAAGTACTCACACAAACACAGGCATTCATGTATAAATACACACATAAGCGTGTATTTATAGAAATATTATGCACATACAATATATAATTTTATTTTTACATAGTATATATACATAATTATGTATTAACAAATATAAGATCAATTTTATTATATACTTATTTACATAAAGATATATTATATAAATGATGTTATATGGCATGTATATATCACATATAACTTTGCTTAGTATATAAAATTTAATCTATAAAATTATGTATCACAAATAAAAGTATATTTTACATATACACTATATATAACTATTTATATGAACTATAAAAATCATGTTTATATTAATAAAATATATTTATATCAATATATTAATATAAAGTATGCACAATGTATATTTATATAAAAATTTTTAATTAAAAAATATTCATTTGGGTTCAATATGTATGGATCGCCAGGGCAGAAACGTCTCTTCAAAAGGTGAACCGTTCTTAAAATCACCGTCATTTGGGAAAGAGTGATACCCCACCTGTTTTCTGAGAAACAGCAGAGGTGTACGGCCAGCGGGGTGTCTCTCTCTTTCCCTGAGGCCGAAAAGTCAGGGAATTTTTCTTCCCCACCCCTAGGAGCTCTGTAAACCGGGGATATTTCAGAAGGATTTGCACAGGGTCCCGGCTTCTGTTGTAAAAGAGCTCCATGGATTCTCGGCTCAGACTTGTGATCAGCTCACCTGCTCCAGAATCACTGACACAAATGCAACCACACACTTACACAAACACACATCAACACAAAGACAGACAGAATCACAAAACACACTCATAGAAACACATGGACACACGAAGACATGCACACTCACACAAATGCAGGGACACACACACAAACACAATTACAAAAATGTGTGGGTTTTTTGCACACGTGGGTGCACATGCACATTGACATTCTCACAAAGCACACAAACACGTATACATACAAAGTCACTCATAAACAGAATCATGAAAACACTCTCATATAAACACGTGGATGGCTACTCACCCACACAGACACTCACATATGTCATACACACTCATAGACACACTCAGAATCACACAAGCACACACAAACACACAAATACAGTCACACACTCATGGAAACACAGTCACAAAAAGACTCACATAATCATGTAGACACACAAACATAAAAGTTCACACACTGGGGCCGGGCAAGGTGGCTCACGCCTGTACTCCCAGAACTTTGGGAGGCCGAGGCGGGCAGATAACTTGAGGTCGGGAGTTCCAGACCAGCCTGGCCAACATGGTGAAACCCCATCTCTACTCAAAAATACAAAAATTAGCCAGATGTGGTGGCTTATGCCTGTAATCCCAGCTACTCAGGAGGCTGAGGCAGGAGAATCATTTGAACCCGGGAGGCAGAGGTTGCAGTGAGCCAAGATCACGCCACTGCACTCCAGCCTGGGTGACAGAACGAGACTCCGTATCAAAAAAGAAAAATTAGCCAGATGTGGCGGTGGGTGCCTGTAATCCCAGGTACTCAGGAGGCTGAGGCAGAAGAATCGTTTGAACCCGGGAGGCGGAGGTTGCTGTGAGCTGAGATTGTGCCTTTGCACTCCAGTATGGGTGACAGAGCGAGACTCCGTCTCAAAAAAAAAAAAAAAAAAATTTATACATTGCCATACAGATTCACACACATACACTCATATTCACAAACACACAAATACGATAAACGCAGGGGCACACAAAAACACCATCACAAAAACACACTTCCATAAAACACAGGAATGCACGCTCACACAGAAACACGCATGGAAACACACGTTGTCTTACAGACTCACAGACACACTCATCATCACATAAACAGGCACACACACACAGCCACACAAGCACACACCCACACCCACATCAACACACACACTCCCACACGGCACACACGCGCTCACGCACACAGGTAGAACAGGCCTGCATTACCTGATAACGCAGTGAAATCAGACGTGATGCTGCCTGCTGAGGAGACCTGGAGGCTTCCCATGAATGGGCTTTCAGAAGAGAGGTCTCTGGGTGCATTTGGTGACACCCCAGGCAGTGGGGGAGACGTCCAGGCTGGAAGGCCAGCCACAGCCAGCTCTGCCCAAGGATGCCACATCCATTTGCTTCAGTAGGATATGTACCCTGGAAACCCAGCTTCCTGCCTCTCCAGGAAACCCCACTGAGGTCAGCACATCCCCCCAGGTTTAGAAGGGGTCTCTGGGTGCATCTGGTGACACCCCAGGCGGGGGGGGGGAGACATCCAGGCTGGAAGGCCAGCCACAGCCAGCTCTGCCCACGGATGCCACGTCCATTTGCTTCAGTAGGATCTGCACCCTGTAAACCCTGGTTCCTGCCTCTCCAGGACACCCCACTGAGGTCAGCACCCCCCACCCCCCACCCCCAGGTTTGTGCAGCTTCACTATCTGGGGAGAGACACAGAAAGACCACATTCGGTGGAATTCTGGCTATAACCTTTTGTGGCCGGCAAGAAGGATCACCAAGCTGTCCTGTTACCTTGCTGGAGCGATCACTGGTTTCACGCTTGGCCCCCGTGCAGTGAGTGCCTGGGCCAGGCTCGATTCTTGGAGCTCCAGTGAAATTTGGGCTTGGAGCTCACGCCTGCACCATCCAGAAAGCAGAAGGCACCTGGCCCGGGCTGTACAGTTCGTAGAATCAGAGAGAACACTGCTTGCCTTCATGTCTGTACCACAATAAATCTGCCAACTGTGGTCAAAGTCTCTGGATTCCTGCCCCCTCATTTTATTTTGTCTATTATGGAGTGGAAGGAGTGAGAAAGATTTTGCTTCCTATTTTGTTTTGCAAGGCGTTTCTAAGAAAAACAACCCGTGTTCTGCAAACGACATTCTGAGTGTCCCCTGGGCGTGAGGAAAACAAACTTTGGGAATCCAAGGACCTGAGAGGCAGAGTGAATGTCATTCACATTTCCCTGCGAATGACAAAGTCACTTTTTATTTATTATTATTATTATTATTAATTATTATTATTATAGATTCAGGGGATCCACGGGCAGCTTTGTGTCCTGGGGATATTGTACGATGCTGAGGTTTGGGGTATGAATAATCCCGTCACCCAGGCGCTGAGCATTGTACATTCCTGAGGTATATAATGTGTACTAAAAATAAAATGTATATTTATATATGCACTAATGATTCAACTTGATTCCTTGTAATTAAGAAAAACAAACCCCAAATTCGAGAGGAGTTCTAGAAATATATAAGAAGAGGGCCAGGTGCAGTGGCTCATGCCTGTAATCCCAGCACTTTGGGAGGCCAAGGCAGGCAGATCACCTGAGGTCAGGAGTTCGAGACCAGCCTGGCCAACATGGTGAAACCCCGTCTCTGCTAAAAATACAAAAATTAGCCAGGTGTGGTGGCAGGTGCCTGTAGTCCCAGCTACTTGGGAGGCTGAGGTAGAAGAATTGCTTGAATCCAGGAGGCAGAAGTTGCAGGGAGCCGAGATTGCACCACTGCACTCCAGCCTGGGTCACAGAGTGAGACTCCATCTCAAAAAAAAAGAAAAAAAAAAGAGAGAGAGAGAGATAGAAAACAAACAAGCAAGAAAATGCAACAGAAAAATCCGTGACCCAAAGATCTCTCCAGTTGCTGCCTTCTGCCTGAAATTCAAAGAATCTCAGGGTAGTTTTTCAACCCTTGTACCCCCGCCCCTGCTTCCTACTCTATTAGTCCTGAGGGTCTGTGGTGCCCCTTCATTGTGTCCAGGTGCAGGCAATGTTTAGCTCCCACCTATAAGCAAAAACATGTGGTATTTTATTTTCTGTTCCTGGCGTTAATTCACTAAGCATAGTGCCCTTCAGCTTCATCCATGTGACTGCAAAGGGCATGATTTTATTCTTGTTCATGGCTGTGTAGTATTCCATGATGCGGAAGGACCACATTTACTTTATCTAATTGAGAACATGTGGTATTTGATTTTCTGTTTCTGGCATTAATTCACTAAGCATAATGCCCTTCAGCTTCATCCACGTTGCTGCAAAGGGCATGATTTTATTCTTGTTCATGGCTGTGTAGTATTCCATGATGCAGAAGGACCACATTTGCTTTATCTAGTGCAGAACATGTGGTATTTGATTTTCTGTTCCTCATATTGATTCACTAAGCATAATGCCCTCTGGCTGCATCCATGTGGCTGCAAAGACATGATTTTATTTTTTTCATCACTGTGTAGTATTCCGTGGTGTAGAAGGGCCACATTTGCTTTATCCAGTTGAGAACATGTAGTATTTCATTTTCTGTTCCTGGCATTAATTCACTAAGCATAATGTCCTTCAGCTGTGTCCATGTGGCTGCAAAGGACATGACATTATTCTTTTTCGTGGCTGTGTAGTATTCCATGGTGTAGAAGGGCCACAATTGCTTTATCCAGACAAGAACATGTGGTATTTGATTTTCTGTTCTTGTGTTAATTCATTAAGCATAATGTCCTCCAGCTACATCCATGTGGCCGCAAAGGACATGATTTTATTCTTTTTCATGGCTGTGTAGTATTCGATGCTGTAGAAGAACCACTTTTGCTTTATCCGGTACCCCACTGATGGGCAACTAGGTTGATTCCATGACTTTCCTATTGTAAGTCGTGCTGTGATGAACCTTACAGGGCCAGGCACTGTAATCCCAGCACTCTGGAGGGCCAAGGTGGGCAGATCACCTGAGGTCAGGAGTTCGAGACCAGCCTGGTCAATATGGTGAAACCCTGTCTCTACTAAAAATACAAAAATTAGCCAGGCATGGTGGCGCATGCCTGTAATCCCAGCTGCTCAAGAGGCTGAGGCAGGAGAATCACTTGAACCCTGGAGGCAGAGGTTGCAGTGAGCCGAGATTGCTACTGCACTCCAGCATGGGAAATAGAGTGAGACTCCATCTCAAAAAACAAACAAAAAAAAGGAACTTTACCATGCATGTGTCTTTTTGGTAGAATGACTTCTTTTCCTTTGGGTAGATGCCCAGTCTTGGAATTGCTGGTGCAAATGGTGGAGCAGTTTGGATTCAGGAGGTACATGTACAGGTTTCTTACATGGGTACGATGTGTGATGCTGAGGTCTGGGGTATGAGTGATCCCATCACCCAGGTAGTGAGCATAATACCCCACAGTTGGTTTTTTCAACTCTTGTCCTTCTACCTTCCTCTCTCCCCCTAACTAGACCCCAATATCTGTTCCCTTCTCTGTGTCTACATATACACAACATTTAGCTCCCACTTATAAGTGAGAACACGCAGCATTCTATTAATTTACTTAAGATAATGGCCTCCACACTGTTCACAATAGCAAAGATGTGGAACCAACCCAAATGCTCATCAGTGATAGACTGGATAAAGAAAATGTAGCACATAGACACTGTGGAATACTATGCAGCCATGAAAAAGATGAGTTCATGTCCTTTGCAGGGACATGGATGAAGCTGGAAACCCTCATGTTCAGCAAAGTGACACAGGAGCAGAAAACCAAACAGTGCATGTTCTCACTCATAAGTGGGAAGTGAACAATGAGAACACATCAACCCAGAGAGGGGAACATCACACACTGGGGCCTACTGCAGGGGTGGGGGACTGGGAAAGGGACAGCATTATGAGAAATATCTAATGTAGATGATGGGTTGATGGGTGCAGCAAACCGCTATGGCACATGTATATCTATGTAACAATCCTGCACATTCTGCACATATACCCCAGAACTTAAAGTAGAATAGAAAAAAAATAATAAAAATAATTAAAAAAGATAATGGCCTCCAGCTACATCCATGTTGCTGCAAAAAAAAAAAAAAAAAAGAAAAAGAAAAAAAAAAAAAAAAACAACCGTGATTTTGTTCCTTTTCAGGGTTGCGTAGTAGTCCATGGTGTAGATGTACCGCGTTTTCTTTGAGGGTGGGAGGAGGGAGAAGATCAGCAAAAATAACCTGTGGCTGGGTATGGCAGCTCACACCTGTATTCTCAGCAGTTTGGGAGGCTGAGGTGGGTGGATCGCCTGAGGTCAGGAGTTTGAGATCAGCCTGGCCAACATGGCAAAACCCTATCTCTACTAAAAGTACAAAAATTAGCCGGGCATGGTGGTGCATGCCTGTAATCCTGGCTCCTCTGTAGGTTGAGGCAGGAGAATCT
This sequence comes from Homo sapiens, assembly GCF_000001405.40. NCBI lineage: Eukaryota > Metazoa > Chordata > Mammalia > Primates > Hominidae > Homo > Homo sapiens. Next base: position 126,132 of record NT_187524.1, read on the forward strand.
CTTGAACCCAGGAGGCAGACATTGCAGTGAGCTGAGATCGTGCCACTGCCCTCCAGCCTGGACCACAGAGTGGGACTCCATCTCAAAAAATAATCATAAAAATAATAATAACAACCTGCTAGGCTTAGGACCTAGGTTGATTCCATTACAAAAAACAAAACAAAAGAAAACAAAAAACTAACTTTTTAAAAGAAGGATCTCTCTGTTCAAAAACAAAACCAATGCCCTGTCAGGAAAGATGTTCTGTGTTTCTGGTAAAGCTGGAAGGAACCTACAGGAAGGAGTCACCCCATAAAACTAGTGGAGCAGCATTGCCTTTTGGGGTGAGGGCTGCTTCTGTTAGGCCACCAGGATGAGTGCCTTCCTGGGGAGTGTGGTTCATCCTATACCATCCAGGAAGCAATTCCTGCCCCCAAATCACCTGCCAGCTTCTGCCCTGTAAGTAAAATCCCCAGCAAGCGGGCAGCAAGGAGCTGCTTGCCTTGGAAGGCAGCTGAAGTCTCTGCCCACCACCCAGACTGTGTCCTCTGGGCAAGGCCAGGGCTTCCAGTTGGATGGTTTTCACATTAACGGCTGCTGTTTAGAATCATCAACATTGGCCAGGCGGGGTGGCTCATGCCTGTCATCTCAGCACTTTGGGAAGCCGAGGCGGGTGGATCACAAGGTCAGGGACCAGCCTGGCCAACATGGTGAAACCCTGTCTCAACTAAAAAAAGAAATACAAAAATTAGCTTGGTGTGGCTGGGCATGGTGGCTCATCCCTGTAATCCCAGCACTTTGGGAGGCCGAGGCGGGCAGATCATGAGGTCAGGAGATCAAGACCATCCTGGCTAACATGGTGAAATGAAACCCCGTCTCTACTAAAAATACAAAAAATTAGCCAGGCACGGTGGCAGGCACCTGTAGTCCCAGCTACTCGTGAGGCTGAGGCAGAAGAATGGCATGAACCTGAGAGGCGGGGTTTGCAGTGAGCCCAGATTGCGCCACTGCACTCCAGCCTGGGCGATATAGAGTGAGACTCTGTCTCAAAAAACACAAAAAAATAAAAAATTAGCCTGGTGTGGTGGTGGGCACCTGTAATCCCAGCTACTCAGGAGGCTGAGGCAGGAGAATTGCTTGGACCCCGGAGGCAGAGGTTGCAGTGAGCCGAGATCGCGCCATCGCACTCCAGCCTAGACAACAGAACAAGACTCTGTTGTAAAAAAAAAAAAAAAAAAAAAAAAAGAATCATCAACATTGCCTTGGCCCAATCTCTTCCCAGACTTGTCAGATCTTTACCACTGGACCTCCATGTTCTAGTTTCAAAGCTCTGCTGGCCACAGTGGCTCATGTCTGTAATCCCAGCACTTTGGGAGGCTGAGGTAGGAGGACTGCTTGAACCCAGGAGCATGAATCCATCCTAGGCAACATAGTGATAATAGTGTCAAATGAGAGCCAGTGTCCAGTAATTCCCCAAATATCTGAGAATTTTCTTTTCTTTAAGTCACAGTCATCCTGGCAGAAGGCTGTAAGTCCCTTTGGGGAAGACTGGGAAAAAGATTAACAATGTAAATTTTTGGCAACGTAGCAGCGTACTTCCCCAAGATCACCCAGCCTCCCCTTCACTTAAGGGGTTGTGGGCCTGTGAACTGGCTCAAGTCTGGGAATTGATTGAGGGTTTTAGATCTGTGTTTCATTAATTTGAGTTAGTCTTTTATTCAGTTGACCTAGAATTCTTCATTTTTTAAAGAACAACTAAGACTTTGGTACAGCCCATTAGCTCTCCCTGTGGATACCATGGACTACACAATGCCGTGGGTGTCTGTGAGTCAAACCATTCTGACTGCTGCTTTGACACTGCTTTCCACTGTGGTGACCACACCCACCTCATCTTTGGTGATTAAGGACAGCCCATGTTCCCTGCCACCCCAGGATTCAATTATCCTCATTTTACTTAAAGATCCCAGTCCAGTGGCTGCAGTTCCTGCTGTAACATTTTGCCTACTGAGAGCACAAGCTCAAAGCTCTTCCAGGATACTGGGCTCCTCTCACAATATTCTTTCTCATGATCGTTGTGAGGAGTATGTTCCGTAGACCCTCCAGTGTGAGTGAGCAGGTCTGACATAATAAATCCAGTCTCCCTGAGTTTTTGCATACCTTTCTGTACACATAAACCAAGGAAGTTGTGGCATCTCAACTTTATGTACCTTAGGTAAACTCTGATTCTGTTTCAGCCAACCAACCAAGTCACCAAACAAGCAAACAGCCAACCAATCAACCAACAAGCAAGCAAGCAACAAACCAACCAAACAACCAAGCAAGGAAGCAAGCACCAACCAACCAAGCAAACAACCAACCAAGTAACCGATCAAACCAACCCTTGGAGCCCTTTCTAAAGCTTTGACCTACAACCCTGAGTCCAGAATCTCTGTTTAGTGGGCCAACATTAATAAATTTAGCCTAATCCAACTTTATGTTACTTCCACCATGGTGCCACACACTTAATATCCATTCCCACATATATTCTCCAGATTTCCTTCTGTATAAATTGCGTGTGTGTGTGTGTGTGTGTGTGTGTGTGTGTGTAGAAAGAGAGCATCAACTAAAAAATCACACAATTTTATAAATTTAGAAAAGAGAGCTTTATTTCTTATATAGGTTTGCAGTCTGCAAGGTGGCCATTATGACAGCCTGGGAAGTGTGGCCTACAGCCAAGGCCAGAGGCAGGCATTTCCAGGGAGGGAAGGAGAGGACAGGAATTTGAGCCAAATGAGTTGGCTACATATACATACTCAATAGGATATCAGAGGAGCTATATCATTTTATGAGAATACTCATAAAAGAGGTCCTAATGAATGCATATTCAATAAACATGCATGTTCATTCTGGGGTGGAGACTTGACATTTAAATGTATTATAATTAGGCCCTACACATCAAAAAGTGAAGCAGGGACATGAAGGTACTCAGCCTCTGTACAGGCACAGCCTCCAAAACTGGCCAGAACCAGTCCATGGAGGATGGTCTCTTATCAGGAGAAAGTTACTGAAATCAGTCCCTTGTCCAGAGAAAGCTGTCATTAAGGTTAGTGGGGCAGGAGATCAGTTACTCAGCGTCTGTGAACTGGGTGAGTTGTAATTGTTTTAATCTTGCTTCTCTCACAGCCAGTGCTTGCTTGGTTGCTAGAGAAAAATAAAACCCACGTGGTAGTTAGAATCTAGTTAATTCTTTAAGAGTAGGCTACAAGACTTAACGCTCGCCTGGCATGGCCCTAGGTCCTGTTTATAATTTGAGGTCTTATTGCCACAAAGAGTCTGTTCTGTCAGTCTCATGATCTCTATTTTAACATTAATGCTGTTCAGTTGTGGGGTCTAAACCATAAGAGGGAGGGAGGTACAGGGAGGTATGTCTGACCTCCTGTCCTGTCATGGCCAAGAACTGAATTTTAAGATTTATTTGAGGTTCCGTTGGCCAACAGGGGGTCTGTTAAGTCGGGTGGGGGGCTTAGGATTTTATTTTTAGTTTTCAAGGGAGATAAAATAATTTAATCAATTGGCCCCTGTGACTGTGGGACTAACATGGCTATGATCTGTCGGACAGACTTCAGGCTGGCACCCAGGCAAAATTCTATGCTGTAGTAAATGCATCATGCACATTTGTAACAACACGTACATAACAATGTCACAAAATACTTTCACGGTGACACCTAGATTGGTATTTTATTGAATAGCTGATGATATAAACTGGCTCATTTGATGCCAAGACTGACCATCACCACCATACCAAGGTCATCACTGATCAGAGGCCTAACCCAAGGAGGAGGTCATGTGCAGACCCAGCAGTGGGGAGGAAAGATGCTGCAGAGGAGACGGATGCCCACAGAGGCCCCTGAGCGGACACAATGCTCACTAAGTGGTAAGTATAGACTCAACGTAGGCTGTAAGGTCTCCCCCTGTGCAAATGGGACCCCGTCCACTTGAGAGTCAAGGGTCTGTTTGGGTGGCAGGGATAGCCACTTCTGAAGGTAGAAAGGAAAATAAGCCACCAAATTGGTACCTTTCTGTGAAATGGACATCGTGCTTAGAATCTCCATTTTCCCCACAACCTGGAGGAATAAGTACTGTCATCTGCATTTTGTAGCTGAAGAATCTGACTCAACAAAATTAAATTACTCACCTAAGCAATTAGCAATTAACCAAGTCTTTCTGACTCAGAAACCCAGCTGTTGCCTGTTCATATCCAGCCCCTGTATTGGGGTCAAGATCTGGCCTGTTCTCAATGCAGCAAGATCCAGGCAGATCACACTGGACTCCCAGCACTGAATCTGGCTCGAGGGGACATCAAATTTGACTGGGTCATGGGGCTCAGGAGCATCACTCTCAAAAATAGCAGTACAGGAAGAGGCGATGGCCCTAAACAGCATTTGCAGGCAGATCCCATGTTAATCGTAAGGGTCAGGACTCTCACTTTTCTGTCTCTCTCTCTCTGTCTCTCATCTAGGGCTGACCCCACATTGGACACCACTGCATCCATGTCCATCACACACCACAGCTGCCTTTTCTTCTGCCTGCTTATGGGAAAGTCCCCTCCTCTCCTCCATTTTCTTCTCTTCCTGCCCTATCACACCGTGCACTTCTCCCTTTCCTTAAAGAACCACCATCAACTTTAGGAGGAGGGAAAGGGGTGGCTCTGGCAGGAAAAGCCAGAATCCCCTCTAGCCAGCAGAGAGAGAGGAATGGCTGCCTGTTTTCTCCCCCAATCCAAGGCACTAGGTTTTGGCTAGGTTGCAGGTTCCAAGCTGCTCTCCTGCTGTGTCAGTGAGTTCTGGTCAACCTGCAACCTCCTGATGTGGCCACTGCAGTTCATCGAGTCTTCAGGGACTCCCCATGACCTGGAGTACTTTGCCTTGCTTACACGGGAGAGGAGAATGGATTTATAGGGAACATCATCTAAATCCAACTTGACCATTGTGTGGCCACACTTGCTAGATTGCTATAGTCTAAATCTAGCATTGTAGAAAGACGGGGGAGCTTGGAGCTGCACAAACCCAGGTCTGGAACTGGCTCCCTACCTTGAAAGGTGAATGATCCTGGCAGGACTCAGCCTCCCTGGGCCTCAGTTTCTTTATCTGTTTCTTGCTGGTTGGTTGGGTGATGTGGGGGCTGTGTGAAAACAGCTTGTCAATACAAGCCGAAATAGGAATATTTCTCCACAGAGTATGAAGGTCAAATGAGAGAATACATTTAAATTAAATGGAAAATTAAAATGGCAAAAAAGGCAAAGTTGTATTGAAAGTTCCAAGCTTCTCTATAAGGAGCTTTTTGACTATGTAAGAATCCGGTACTCGTTCCCCCTAAATATAAAAAAAAAAAGTTGAAGGAGGAAGAAGGGAGAGTGATGCATGATGGGCGAGGACTTCACCTGCTGTTGCTGGCTTTGAGGATGGAGGAAGGAGGCCACAAACCTAGAAGCTGGAGCCCCTAGAAGCTAGAAAAGGCAGGGACCCGATTCATCCCTTGAGCCTCCAGAAGGGACATAGCCCCGCCAGCACCTTGACTTTAGCCCAGTGAGATCCTCTTAGGACTTTTGGCAACCAGAACTATAAGACAGAAATGGAAGCCACTGAGTCTGTAGCTGTTTGTTGCAGCAGCAATAGAAAACTAATGCAGAGCCCAAGAAATCACTGGTGATGAGATGGGGAAGTGGGCTCAGGAGGTCTGGATCTGTGATGAGATGGGGAAAGTGGGGGAGGTCTGGATCTGTGATGAGATGGGGAAAGTGGGCTCAGGAGGTCTGGATCTGTGATGAGATGGGGGAAGTGGGCTCAGGAGGTCTGGATCTGAGTTGGGGATCTGGAGTGGAAGGGGAATTCATTTGTTCATTGTCTATCCTTTTGCATTGATTGAGTTTTTATATATATATATATATATGTGAATTTTCACAATAAAAGTTTTTTCCAAAATAAAATAAACAAAAGGGGCTTTTTGCAACCCAATTCCTATCTATGTCTGAGTCCACTTGTATTGAATGAGTCTTTCTGCTAACGTCCTTATATTTGGGTGACAATCTGAATGTCAGTGACCAATCAGAGCAGAGGCAGACCTTGGAGTGGGCAGGGCACCCTGAGGGCCCTGATTCCCGCCATGAGGCATAACCCTTTAGGTGCCAGACCACGGGGAGGCCCAGGGGTTGCAGGGGAGGGCTGTGCATCTGCAATGACTCTCAGGGGGCTCCCGGTGGTGGCAATTGGTGAATCTGCACGGTGGTGTTTCAATATTGTGACAACCCTGCTGTCTCTCATGCTCTTAAAAAGCATTTCTCTTACCTGTGACAGACTTCCTATACCTAACAGCTTGCAAAAATGTTCCAGATTAATGAGAATAATCTCTCGGAGCCATACCTCCCTGCTTGGGGTCTCAGTTTCCCCAACTGTCTCCAGACAAGTTAGGCTAGAAGGCCCCTGAGCCTCAGCCCCTCTATACCCCTCCTGTCACCCAGACCTGATCTGGGTCTTGCACCCTGGGTGCAGCAAGACAGGGGTGGGCAGGGGCTGGCTCTGGGCCAGAGGACCCTTTCTGATGGACTTCAGCTGTTGGCCTTCCAGGGGAGACTGATCAACCTCACAAGAGTCATATGGTGAGTAGCAGTGGGCAGATCCATCCCCCTCGTCTTAGATTTATGGGGAGACAGAGAGAAAGAGGAGACACTCCAGGAAGACCTGCAGGTGGGAGTACCAGGTTGAAACCAAGGACACATTCCTGGAGGAGCTGCCGTTTGAGCCAGCTCTGAGAACAGGTGGGGACAGGACTGGAGAGGAGGAGGGGGTCCCCTATGAGCAAAGACTGGCCACCACCCCATCTAACACCCCCACAGGGCCCCTGTGGCATCCCTGTCCAGTCCCTGTCACCACCCAGTTTTTCCCTCTGGACCCAG